>NC_000006.12:61129934-61357029 GCF_000001405.40 Homo sapiens | reverse complement strand
CAAAAGAAAGGTTTAACTCTGTGAGATGAATGCACCCATCACAGAATTGTTTCTCAGAAAGCTTATTTCTACTTTTTATTTTAAGATATTCTCTTCTACACCATAGGTCACAATGCACTCCCAAATATCCCTTCACAGATTCTACAAAAACAGTGTTTCCAAAGTGTTCAATGAAAAAGAAAGGTTTAGCTCTGTGAGATGAATGCACACCTCTCAAAACAGTTTCTCAGAAAGCTTCTTTCTAGTTTTATTTGAAGACTTTTTTTTCACCACAGGCCTTAATGGGCTCCCAAATATCCCTTCGCAGAATGGAGAAAAAATGTTTCCAAGCTACTGGATCAAAAGAAAGATTTAACTCTGAGAGGTGAATACATCAATCACAGAGCAGTTTCTCAAAAAGCTTCTTTCTACTTTTTATCTTAAGATATTTTCTTCTACACCATGGGTCTCAAAGCACTCCCAAATATTCCTTCACAGATTCTACAAAAACAGTGTTTCCAAAGTGTTGAATGAAAAAGAAAAGTTTAACTCTGAGAGATGAATGCACACATCTCAAAGCAGTTTCTCAGAAAGCTTCTTTCTAGTTTTTATTTGAAGATATTTTCTTTTTCACCACATGCCTCAATAAACTCCCAAATATCCCTTTGCAGAATGGAGAAAAACAGTGTTTCAAAGCTGTTGAATAAAAAGAAAGGATTAACTCTGTGAGACGAATGCACAAATCATGAAGCAGTTTCTCAGAAAGCTTCTGTCTAGTTTTTATTTGAAGATATTTTCTTTTTCACCATAGACCTCAAAGTGCTCCCAAATATCCCTTCACAGAATGAACAAAAACAGTGTTACAAAACTCTTGAAACAAAAAAAGAATTAACTCTGTGAGATGAATGCACACATCACAAAGCAGTTTGTCATAGAGCTTCCTTCAAGATTTTATATGAAGACATTTACTTTTTCTTCATAGGACTCAATGGGATCCCTTATGCCCCTTCACAGATTCCGCAAAAACTGTTTCCAAATGGCTATTAGAAAAGAGAGATTTACCACTGTGAGGTGATTGCACACATCACAGAACAGTTTCTCAGAAAGCTTCATACTAGTTTTAAGATATTTTCTTCTACACCATAGGTCTCAATGTGCTCCCAGATATCCCATGGCATAATCTACAAAAACCGTGTTTCCAAACTGCTGAATGAAAAGCAAGATTTAACTCTGGAGATGAATGCACACATCAGAAAGCAGTTTCTCAGCAAGCTTGTTCTAGTTTTTCTCTGAAAATATTTTCTTTTTCACCATAGGCCTCAATAGCTCCCAAATATCCCATTGCAGAATGGACAAAAACAGTGTTTCAAAATTGTTGAAACAAAAGAAAAGAATATCTCTGTGAGATGAATGCACACATCACAAAACAGTTTCTCTGAAAGCTTCTCTCTAGTTTTTATTTGAAGATATTTCCTTTTTCACAGCAG
Organism: Homo sapiens; assembly: GCF_000001405.40. Lineage (NCBI taxonomy): Eukaryota > Metazoa > Chordata > Mammalia > Primates > Hominidae > Homo > Homo sapiens. The sequence goes on along the minus strand of NC_000006.12, from coordinate 61,355,563 downwards.
GCCTCAATGCGCTCCAAAATATCCCTTCGCAGATTCTGCAAAATCAGTGTTTCCAAAGTGCTGGATCGAAAGAAAGGTTTACCTCTGTGAGATGAATGCACCCATCACAGAACGGTTTCTCAGAAAGCTTATTTCTAGTTTTTATCTTAAGATATTTTCTTTTTCACCATAGGTCTCCTTGCACTCCCAAATATCACTTCCAAGATTCTACAAAAACAGTGTTTCCAAACAGCTGAATGAAAAGGAAGGTTTAACTCTCAAGATGAATGCATACATCACATAGCGGTTTCTCACCTGGCTTCCTTGACTTTTTTATCCTGGGATATTCACTTTTTTTCCTTGGAGTCAATCATCTCCAAAATGGACATTGGTAGAATGGACAAAAACAATGTTTCCAAACTATTGAAACAAAAGAATCTTTATCTCTGTGAGATGAAAACACACATCACAAAGCAGTTCCTCAGAAAGCTTCTATCTAGTTATGGTTTGAAGATATTTCCTTTTTCACCATAGGCCTCAATGGGCTACCAAATATACCTTCACAGAATGGACAAAAATAGTGTTTCAAAACTGTTGAATCAAAAGAAATGTTTAACTCTGTGAGATGAATGCACAAATCACAAAGCTGTCTCTCAGAAAGCTTCTTTCTGGTTTTTATGTGAAGATATTGACTTTTTCACTGTAGGACTCAAAGGTCTCCCAAATATCCCTTTGCAGATTTTACAAAAAAGGTTTTGCAAACTGCTGAATGAAAAGAAAGGTTTAAATATGCGAGATGAATGCATACATCACAAATCAGTTTCTCAGATTACTTCCATGTAGTTTTTTTCCTGGGATATTCACTTTTCCTCCATTCATCTCAAAGAGCTCCCAAATGTCCATTCACAGATTGGACAAAGCAGTGTTTACAAACCGTTGAAACAAAAGAAATTTTTACTCTGTGTGATGAAAGCAGACATCACAAATCGGTTTACCATAAAGCTTCTGTCTAATTATTATTTGAAGATGTTTACTTTTTCACCGTAGGCCTCAATGCACTCCTAAATATCCCTTCACAGATTCTACAAAAACAGTGTTTCCAAATTGCTGAATGAAAAGAAAATTCTAACCCTGTGAGATGAATTCACACATCACAAGGAAGTTTAACATAAAGCTTCTTTCTAGTTATTATATGAAGATATTTACATTTTCACCATAGGCCTCAAAGGGCTCCCAAATATCCCTTTGCAGATTCTACAAAAACAGTGGTTCTAAACTGCTCCTTCAAAAGAATGGTTCAACTCTGTGAGAGGAATGCACACTTCACAAATTCGTCTCTCACAAAATTTCTATCTAGTTTGTATCGGAAGATATTTCATTTTTCACCACAGGCCTCCATATGAATCCAAATATCCCTTCACAGATTCTACAAACACTGTGTTTCCAAACTGCTCAATGAAAGAATGGTTCAACTCTGTGAGATGAATGCACACATCAAAAAGCAGTTCCTCAGGAACTCTTTTTTTAGTTTGTATTGGAAGATATTTCCTTTTTCACAGTAGGATTCAATGCACTCCCAAATATCCCTTTGCAGATTCTAGAACAACAGAGTTTCCAAACTGCTCAATGAAAAGAAATGCTTAACTCTGTGGGATGAATGCACACATTAGAGATTATTCTCTAAGAAAGCATCTGTCTAATTTGTATCAGAAGATATTTCCTTTTTCACCACTAGCCTTCATGCAAATTCAAATATCCCTTCACAGATTCTACAAACACTCTGCTTCCAAACTGCTCAATCAAAAGAATGGTTCAGCTCTGTGAGATGAATGCACACATCATACAGCCATTTTTCAGAAAGCTCCTTTCTAGTTTTTATGTGAGAATATTTCTTTTTTCACCATAGACCTCAAAGCACTCACAAATATCCCTTTGCAGATTCTAGAAAAACAGTAGTTCCAAACTGCTCAATCAAAAGAATGGTTTAACTCTGTGAGAGGAATGCACACATCACAAAGCAGTTTCTCAGAAAGCTTCCTATGAGTTTTTAGGTGAAGATATTTCCTTTTTCATCATAGGCCTGAAAGCACTCTGAAATATCCCTTTGCAGATTCTACAAAAACAGTGTTTCCAAAATGCTCCATCAAAGGAAAGTTTTAATTCTGTGAAATGAATGCATATATCACAAAGCAGTTTCTCAGAATGCTCCTTTCTAGTTTTTATGTGAGGATATTTCCTTTTTCACCGTAAGACTCAAAGGGCTCCCAAATATCCCTTTGCAGATTCTACTAAAACAGTGGTTCTAAACTGCTCCTTCAAAAGAATGGTTCAACTCTGTGAGAGGGATGCACACTTCACAAATTCGTCTCTCACAAAATTTCTGTCTAGTTTGTATCGGAAGATATTTCATTTTTCACCACAGGCCTCCATGCAAATCCAAATATCCCTTCACAGATTCTACAAACACTGTGTTTCCAAACTGCTCAGTGAAAGAATGGTTCAACTCTGTAAGATGAATGCACACATCACAAAGCAGTTCCTCAGAAACTCTTTCTAGTTTGTATTGGAAGATATTTCCTTTTTCACCATACACCTCAATATGCTCCTAAATATCCTTTTGCAGATTCTGAAAGAACAGAATTTCCAAACTGATCATTGAAAAGAAATGTTTAACTCTGTGGGATGAATACACACATTACAAAGCATTCTCTCAGGAAGCTTCTGTCTAGTTTGTGTCAGAAGATATTTCCTTTTTCACCACAGGCCTCCATGTGACTCCAAATATCCCTTCACAGATTCTAGAAACACTGTGTTTCCAAACTGCTCAACCAAAATAATGGTTCAACTAGGTGAGATGAATGCACACATCACAAAGTGGTTACTCAGTAACACTTTTTCGAGTTTATTGGAAGATATTTCCTTTTTCACTACAGGCCTCTATGCACTCTCAAATATCCCTTTGCAGATTCTACAAGAACAGAGTCTCCAAACTGCTCAATGAAAAGAAAGTTTAACTCTGTGAGATGAGTGCACACATCACAAAGCAGTCTTCCAGAAAGTTTCTGCCTAGTTTGTATCAGAAGATATTTCCTTTTGCCCCCTAGGCCTCAAGGTGAATCCAAATATTCCTCCGCAGATACTTCAAACACTGTGTTTCCAAGCTGCTCAATCAAAAGAATGGTTTAACTCTGTGAGATGAATGCACGTATTACAAAGCAGTTTCTCAGAAAGCTCCTTTCTAGTTTTTATGTGAGGATATTTCCTTTTTCACCATAAGACTCGAGGGCCCCCAAATATCCCCTTGCAGATTCTCCAAAAACAGTGGTTCAAAACTGCTCCATCAAAAGAATGGTTCAACTCTGTAGGATGAGTGCACACATCACAAAGCAGTTTCTCAGAAAGCTTCCATCTTGTTTGTATCAGAAGATATTTCCTTTTGCCCCCTAGGCCTCAAGGTGAATCCAAATATTCCTTCTCAGATACTTTAAACACTGTGTTTCCAAGCTGCTCAATCAAAAGAATGGTTTAACTCTGTGAGATGAATGCACATATTACAAAGCAGTTTCTCAGAAAGCTCCTTTCTAGTTTTTATGTGAGGATATTTCCTTTTTCACCATAAGACTCGAGGGCCCCCAAATATCCCCTTGCAGATTCTCCAAAAACAGTGGTTCAAAACTGCTCCATCAAAAGAATGGTTCAACTCTGTAGGATGAATGCACACATCACAAAGCAGTTTCTCAGAAAGCTTCCATCTTGTTTGTATCAGAAGATATTTCCTTTTTCAACACAGGCCTCAATGCAAATCCAAATAATCCTTTGCAGATTCTACTAACACTGTGTTTCCATACTGCTCAATCAAAAGAATTGTTCAACTATGTGAGATGAATGCACACATCACAAAGCAGTTTCTCAAAAACTCTATTTCTAGTTTGTATCGGAAGATATTTCCTTTTTAACCATAGGCCTCAATGCACTCCCAAATATCCTTTTGCAGATTATAGAACAACAGAGTTTAAAAACTGCTCAATGAAAAGAAACTTTTAATTCTGTGGGATGAATGCACACATTACAAAGCATTCTCTCAGAAAGCTTCTGTCTAGCATGTATTGGAAGATATTTCCTTTTTCAACACAGGCATCCATGTGAAACAAAATATCCCTTCGCAGATTCTACAAACACTGTGTTTCCAAATTGCTCAATCAAAAGAATGGCTCAATTCTGTGAGATTAATGTACACATCATAAAGCAGTTTCTCAGAAACTCTCTTTCTAGTATGTATCAGAAGATAATTCCTTTTTGACCATAGGCCTCAAAGTGCTCCTAAATATCCCTCTGCAGATTCTACAAAAAGACTGTTTCCAAACTGCTCAATGAAAAGAAATGTTTACCTCTGTGAGATGAATACACTCATGACAAACCAGTTTCTCAGAAAGCTTCTGTCTAGTTTTTATGTGAAGATATATACTTTTTCAACATAGGCCACAAAGCATTCACAAATATCCCTTTGCAGATTCTACAAGAACAGAGCTTCCAAACAGCTCAATGAAAAGAAACGTTTACCTCTGTGAGATGAATGCACTCATGATAAACCAGTTTCTCAGAAAGCTTCTTTCTACTTTTTATGTGAACATATTTCCTTTTCACCATAGGCCTCAGTGCACTCCCAAATATCCCTTTGCAGATTCTACAAAAAGACTTTTTACAAACTGCTCAATCAAAATAATGGTTCAACTCTGTGGGATGAATGCATACATCACAAAGCAGTCTCTCAGAAACTCGCCAGTTTGAATCTGAAGATATTTCCTTTTTCTATCTAGGCCTCTATTCTCTCCCAAATATCCCTTTGCAGATTCTAGAAGAACAGCATTTCCAAACTACTCAATGAAAAGAAACGTTTACCTCTGTGAGATGAATGCATGCATCACAAAGCCATTTCTCAGAAAACTTCTTTCTAGTTTTTATGTGAAGATATTTCCTTTTTCAGCATAGGCTTCAACACACTGACAAATATGCCTTTGCAGATTCTAGAAGAACAGAGTTTCCAAACTGCTCAATGAAAACAAATGTTTACCCTTATGACATGAATGCACACATCACAAAGCAGTTTCTCAGAAAGCTTCTCTCTAGTTTTTATGTGAAGATATTTCCTTTTTCACCATAGGCCTCAACGTGCTCCCAAATATCCCTTTGCAGTTTCTATGAAAAGACTGTTTCCAAACTGCTCTATCTCAAGAATGGTTCAACTCTGTGAGATGAATGCACACATCAAAAAGAAGTTTCTCAGAAAGATTCTGTCTAGTTTTTATGTGAAGATATATCCTTTTTCAACACAGGCCTCAAAGCACTCACAAATATCCCTTGGCAGATTCTACAAGAACAGAGTTTCCAAACTGCTCAATGAAAAGAAAGGTTTAGCACTGTGAGATGAATGCACACATGACAAAGCAGTTTCTCAGAAAGCTTCTTTCTACTTTTTATGTGAACATATTTCCTTTTCACCATAGGTCTCAGTGCACTCCCAAATATCCCTTGCAGATTCTACAAAAAGACTTTTTCCAAACTGCTCAATCAAAACAATGGTTTAACTGTGTCAGATGAATGCAAACATCACAAAGCAGTTTCTCAGAAACTCTCTTTCCAGTTTGAATCAGAAGATATTTCCTTTTTCTATCTAGGCCTCTATGCACTCCCAAATATTCCTTTGCAGATTCTAGAAGAACAGACTTTCCAAACTGCTCAATGAAAATAAACGTTTACCTCTGTGAGATGAATGCATGCATCAAAAAGCCATTTCACAGAAAGCTTCTTTCTAGTTTTCATGTGAAGATATTTCCTTTTTCACCATAGGCTTCAATGCACTAACAAATATGCCTTTGCAGATTCTCCAAGAACAGAGTTTCCAAACTGCTCAATGAAAAGGAACGTTTACCCCTGTAACATGAATGCACACATCACAAAGCAGTTTCTCAGAAAGCTTCTCTCTAGTTTTTATGTGAAGATATTTCCTTTTTCACCATAGGCCTCAATGCATTCTTAAATATCCTTTTGCAGTTTCTATGAAAAGACTGTTTCCAAGCTTCTCAATCACAAGAATGGTTCAACACTGTGAGATGACTGCACACATCAAAAAGAAGTTTCTCAGGAAGCTTCTGTCTAGTTTTTACATGAACATATATCCTTTTTCAACATAGGCCTCAAAGCACTCATAAATATCCCTTGGAAGATTCTACAAGAACAGAGTTTCCAAACTGCTCAATGAAAAGAAAGGTTTGCCTGTGTGACATGAATGCACACATGACAAAGAAGTTTCTCAAAACCTTCCTTCTAGTTTTTATGTGAATATATTTCCTTTTCACCACAGGCCTTAGTATTCTCCCAAATACTATTTTGCAGATTCTATTAAAAGACTATTTCCAAACTGCTCAATCACAAGAATGGTTCAACCCTGTCAGATGAATGCATGCAACACAAAGAAGTTTCTCAGAAAACGTCTTTCTAGTTTTTATGTGAATATATTTCCTTTTTCACCATAGGACTCAAAGTGCTCACAAATATCCCTTTGCAGATTCTGGAAGAAAAGAGTTTCCAAACTGCTCAATGAAAAAATCGTTTAGCTCTGTGAGACGAATACACACATCACAAAGCAGTTTCTCAGAAAGCTTCTTTCTAGTTTTTATGTGAAGATATTTCTTTTTACACCATAGTTCTAAAAGCACTCCCAAATATCCCACTTCAGGTTCATATAAAAAGACTGTTTCCAAACTGCTCAATCAAAAGAATAGTTCAACTCTGTGAGATGAAAGCACACATCACAAATAAGTTTCTCAGAAAACTTCTGTCTGGTTTTTACGTGAAGAGATTTCCTTTTTCACCATAGGCCACAAAGTGCTCCAAATATCCATTTGCAGATTCTACAAAAACACTGTTTCCAAACTGCTCAATAGAAAGAAAGGTTCAGCTCTATGAGATGAAGAACACATCACAAAGTAGTTTCTCACAAAGCTTCTGTCTAGTTTTTATGTGAAGATATTTCCTTTTTCATAATAGGCCTCAATGAGCTCCAAATATCCATTTGCAGATACTATAAAAAGACTCTTTCCAAAACTGCTCAGTAGAAAGAAAGGTTCAACTCTGTGAGATGAAAGCACCCATCACAAAGAAGGTTTTCAGAAAGCTTCTGTCTAGTTTTTATGAGAAGATATTTCATATTTCATCATAGGCCTCAAAGGGCTCACTAATATCTCTCTGCAGATTCTACAAAAAGATTGTTTCCAATCTGCTCAATCAACAGTAAGGTTCATCTCTTTCATATGAATGCACACATCACAAAGAAGTTTCTCAGAAACCTTCTGTCTAGTTTTTATGTGAAGATATTTCCTATTTCACCATAGGCCTCAACTGGCTCCCAAATGTCCCTCTGCAGTTTCTACAAAAAGATTGTTTCCAAACTGCTCAATTGAAAGAAAGGTTCAACATTTGAGATGAATGTGCACATCACAAAGAATTTTCTCAGAACGCTTCTGTCTAGTTTTTATGTGAAGATATTTCCTATTTCACCATAGGCCTCAAAGGGCTCTTAAATTTCCCCTTGCAGATTCTACAAAAGGACTGTTTCCAAAGTGCTCAATCAAAAGAAATCTTCAAGTCGGTGGGATGAATCTACACATCTCAAAGCAGTTTCTCAGACTCTTTCTGTCTAGTTTTTAGGTGAAGATATTTCCTATTTCTCCATAGGCCTCAAAGGAGTCACAATATCCCTCTGCAGATTGTACAAAAAGAATACTTCCAAATTGCTTAATAAAAAGACAGTTTCAACACTTTGATATGAATGCGCACATCACAAAGAAGTTTTTCAGAATGCTTCTGTGTAGTTTTTATGTGAATGTATTTACTATTTCTCCATAGGCCTCAAAGGGCTCACAGGTATCCCTCTGCAGGTGGATGAAAAGACTGTTTCCAAACTGCTCAATCAAAAAAAAAAAAGGTTCAACTCTCTGATATGAATGCACACATCACAAAGAAGTTTCTCAAAATGCTTCTGTTTAGTTTTTATGTGAAGATATTTCCTTTTTCACCATAGGCCCCAAAGCACTCCAAATATCCATTTGCAGATTCTACAAAAAGACTGTTCCAAAACTGATGAATGAAAAGAAAGTTTCAACTCTGTGAGATGAATGCACACATTGCAAAGAAGTTTCTCAGAATGCTGCTTCCAGTTTTATGTGAAGATATTTCTTATTTCGCCACAAGCCTCAAAGGGCTCTGAAATAATATCCCTTTGCAGATTCTACAAAAAGATGGTTTCCAAACTGCTCAAAAAGGAAAGCTTCAATTCTGTGAGATGAATGCATATATTACAAAGGAGTTTGTCAAAACCTTCTGTCTAGTTTTTCTGTAAAGATATTTTCTTTTTCACCATGGGCCTCAAAGTGCTCCAAATATCAATTTGCAGACTCTAAAAAAAGACGGTTTGCAAACTGCTCAATCAAAAGAAAAATTCAACTCCGTGAGATGAATGCAGCAATCAAAAAGAAGTTTCTTAGAATGTTTCTGTCTAGTTTTTATGCTAGGATATTTCCTTTTTCACCATAGCTCTCAAACCACTCACAAATATTCCACTGCAGATTCCACAGAAAGACTGTTTCCAAACAGCTCAATCAAAAGAAAGTTCAACTCTGTGAGATGAAAGCACACATCATGATGAAGTTTCTCAGAAAAATTCTGTCTACTTTTTATGTGAGGATATTTCCTTTTTCAAGATAGGCCTTATAGTCCTTTCAAATATCCCTTTGCAGATTCTACAAAAAGACTGTTTCCAAACTTCTCAATCCAGGGAAAGGTTCAAATCTTTGAGTTCAATGCACAGATCACAAAGAAGTTTCTCAAAAAGCTTCTGTCTAGTTTTTATGTGAAGATATTTCCTTTTTCACAAAAGGCCTCAAAGCGCACTAAAATATCATTTGCAGATCCTACAAAAAGACTGTTTCCAAAATGCTCAATCTAAAGAAAGTTTCAACTCTGTGAGATGAAAGCAAACATCACAAAGAAGTTTCTCAGAAAGCTCCTGTCCAGATTTTATGTGAAGATATTTCCTTTTTCACCATAGGCCTCAAAGGGCGCTAAAATATCCCTTTGCAGAGTCCACAAAAAGAATGTTTCCAAACTGCTCAATCAAAAAAAAGGTTCAACTCAATGAGAGGAAAGCATCCATCTCAAAGAAGTTTGTCAGAAAGCTTCTGTCTAGTTTTTATGAGAAGATATTTCCTGTTTCACCGTAGGCCTCAATGGTTTCAAAATATCCCTTTGTGGATTTTACAAAAAGACAGTTTCTAATATGATAAATCAAAAGAAAGTTTCAACTCTGTGAGATGAATGCAAACATCACAAAGAAGTTTCTCAAAAGTCTTCTGTCCAGTTTTTATGTTTAGATATTTCCTTTTTCACCATATGCCTCAAACCACTCACAAATATCCCTATGCAGTATCTACAAAAATCTTATGCAGTATCTACAAAAATACCCCTATGCAGTATCTACTCTTTCCAAACTGCTCAATCAAAAGAAAGCTTCAACTCTGTAAGATGAATGCACACATCACAAAGAAGTTTCTCAGAAAACTTCTGTGGAGTTTTTTGTGCAGATATTTCCTTTTACAACATAGGCCTCAAAGCACTCCAAATATCCATTTGCAGATTCTACAAAAAGACGGTTTCCAAACTGCTCAATGAAAGGAAAGGTTCAACTCTGTGAGATGAATGCACACATCACAAAGAGGTTTCTCAGAATGCTTCTGTCTGGTTTTCATGTGAAGATATTTCCTTTTCCATCATAAGTCTCATATGGCTCCAAAATATCCCTTTGCAGATTCTACAAAAGATCTATTTCCAAACTGCTCAATCAAAAGAAAGCTTCAACTCTGTGAGATGAATGCGCACATCACAGAGAAGTTTCTCGAAAAGCTTCTGTCTAGTTTATATGTGAAGATATTTTCTTTATCCCCATCTACCTCAAAGCACTTGAAATATCAAATTTCAGACTCTACCAAAAACTGTTTGCATACTGCTCAATCAAAAGGAAGATTCAACTCTGAGACATGAATGAACACATCACAAAGAAGTTTCTCAGAATGATTGTGTCTAGTTTTTATGTGAAGATATTTCCTATTTCACCATTGGCCTCAATGGGATCACAAGTATCCCTTGGCAGATTCTACAAAAAGACTATTTCCAAAGTACTCAATCAAAAGAAAACTTCAACTGTGTGAGATGAATGCACACATCACAAAGAAGTTTCTCAGAATGATTGTGTCTAGTTTTTATGTGAAGATATTTCCTTTTACCCCATAGGCCTCAAAGCACACCAAATATCCATTTGTGGATTCTATGAAGACTGTTTCAAAACTGCTCTATCAAAAGAATTGTTCAACACTCTCAGGTGAATGCACACATCACAAAGAAGTTTCTCAGAATGCTTCTGTGTAGTTTTTGTGTGAAGATATTTCCTTTTTCCCCATAGGCCTCTAGGAAGATATTTCCTGTTTCTCCATAGGAGTCTGAAAGTGCACCAAATATCCATTTGTAGATGCTATGAAAAGACTGTTTCCAAACTGCTTTATCAAAAGAATTGTTCAACACTCTCAGATGAATGCACACATCACAAAGAAGTTTCTCAGAATGCTTCTGTCTAGTTTTTATGTGAAGATATTTATTTTTCACCATGTGCCCCAAAACACTCAGAAATATCCCTTTTCAAATTGTACAAAAAGACTTTGCAAACTACTCAGTGTAAAGAAAGGTTCAGCTCTGTGAAATGAATACAAACATCAGAAAAAAGATTCACAGAAAGCTTCTGTGTAGTTTTTATGTGAAGATATTTCCTTTTTTACCATAGACCTCAAACAACTCATAAATATCCCTATGCAGAATCTACCAAAATACTGTTCCAAACTGCTCAATCAAAAGAAAGCTTTAATCTTGTGAGATTAATGCATGCATCACAAAGAAGTTTCTCAGAATGCTTCTGTCTAGTTTTTATGTGAAGATATTTCCTGTTTCACCATAGACATCAAAGGGCTCACAAATATCCCCCTGCAGATTCTACAAAAAGACTGTTTCCAAACTGCTCAATCGACAGAAATGTTCAAGTCTGTTAGATGAATGTATACATCACAAAGAAGTTTCTCAGAATCCCTCTGTCTAGTTTTTATGTGAAGTTATTTCCTATTTCTCCATAGGTCTCAAATGGCTCACAAATATCCCTCTGCAGATTCTACAAAAAGAATGTTTCTGAACTGCTCAATTAAAGAATTCTTCAAATCTGTGAGATGAATGCACAGATCACAGAGAAGTTTCTCAGAAAGCTTCTATCTAGTTTTTATGTGAAGAGATATTTCCTTTATCACCATAGGCCTCAAAGCACCCAATATATCCATTTGCAGATTCTACAAAAAGACTGCTTCCAAACTGTTCAATCAAAAGAAAGGTTCAACTCCTTGAGGTGAATGAAAACATCACAAAGAAGTTTCTGGTAATCCTTCTGTCTGGTTATCCTGTGAATATATTTCCTATTTCACCATGGGACTCAAAGGGCTCACAAATATCCCTTTCCAGATTGTACAAAAAGACTGTTTCTTAACTGGTCAACCAAAAGAAATGTTCAAGTCTGTGAGATGAATGTACACATCACAAAGAAGTTTCTCAGGATCCTTCTGTCTAGTTTTTATGTGAAGATATATCCTATTTCTCCATAGACCTCAAAGGGCTCACAGATATCCCTCTGCAGGTGTACAAAAAGGCTTTTCCCAAACTGCTCAATCAAAAGAAAAGTTCAACTCTTTGAGATGAATACACACATCACAAAGAAGTTTTTCAGAATACTTCTGTCTAGTTTTTATGTGAAGATATTTCCTTTTCCACCATAGGCCTCAAAGCGTTCCAAATATCCATGTGCAGATTCTACAAAAAGACAGTTTCCAAACTGCTCAATCAAAAGAAAGGCTCAACTCTGTGAGATGAATGCCCACATCAAAAAGAAGTTTCTCAGTATGCTTCTGTCTAGTTTTTATGTGAAGATATTTCCTTTTTCACCATACGCCTCAAATCACTCACAAATGTCCCTATGCAGAATCTACAAAAAGACTGTATCCAAACAGCTCAATCAAAAGAAAGCTTCAACTCTGTGTGATGAATGCACACATCACAAAAAATTTTCTCACAAAACTTCTGTCTAGTCTTTTTGTGAAGACATTTCCTTTGTCACCTTAGGCCTGAAAGTACTCAAAATATCCATTTGCAGATTCTACAAAAAGACTGTTCCAAAGCTGCTCAATCAAAAGAAAGTTTCAACTCTGTGAGATGAATGCACACATCACAAAGAAGTTTCTCAGAATTCTCCTTCCAGTTTTTATGTGAAGATATTTCCTATTTCACCATAGGCCTAAAAGGGCTCTAAAATATCCCTTTGCAGATTCTACAAAAAAAAGGTTTGCAAACTGCTCAATCAAAAGAAAGCTTCAACTCTGTGAGATGAATGCACACGTTGCAAAGGAGTTTCTCAAAAAGCTTCTGTCTTGTTTTTCTGTGAATTTATTTTCTTTTTTGCCATGGGCCTCAAAGAGCTCTAAATATAAATTTGCGGACTCTACAAAAAGACTGTTTGCAAACTGCTCAATCAAAAGAACAGTTCAACTCTGTCAGATGAATGCACACCTCAGAAAGAAGTTTCTCAGAATGCTTCTTTCTAGTTTTTATGTAAGGATATTTCCTTTTTCACCATAGCTCTCAAACCACTCAAAAATATTCCACTGCAGGTTGCACAAAAAGACTGTTTCCAAACTGCTCAATGAAAAAAGTGTTTACCTCTGTGAGATGAATGCACTCTTGACAAACCAGTTTCTCAGAAAGGTTCTTTCTAGTTGATTTGTGAACATATTTCCTTTTCACCATAGGCCTCAGTGTGCTCTGAAATATCCCTCTGCAGATTCTACAACAAGACGTTTTACAAACTGCTCAGTAAATAATGGTTCAACTCTGTCAGATGAATGCACACATCACAAAGCAGTTTCTCAGAAACTCTCTTTCCAGTTTGAATCTGAAGATAATTCCTTTTTATATCTAGGCCTCTATGGTCTCCCAAATATCCCTTTGCAGATTCTAGAAGAACAGCATTTCCAAACTGCTCAATGAAAAGAAAGTTTACCTCTGTGAGATGAATGTATGCATCACAAAGCCATTTCACAGAAAGCTTCTTTCTAGTTTTCATGTGAAGATATTTCCTTTTTCACCATAGGCTTCAATGCACTAACAAATATGTCTTTGCAGATTCTCCAAGAACAGAGTTTCCAAACTGCTCAAAGAAAAGAAACTTTTACACCTATGACCTGAATGCACACATGTCAAAGCAGTTTCTCGGAAATCTTCTCTCTAGTTTCTATGTGAAAAAGACTGTTTCAAAACTGCTCTGTTTAAAGAAAGTTTCAACTCTGTGAGATGAATGCACACATCACAAAGAAGTTTCTCCCAAAGCTTCTGTTTAGTTTTTATTTGAAGATATTTCCTTTTTCACCATAGGCCTCAAAGCACTCCAAATATACATTTGTAGATTCTACGAAAAGTTGGTATCCAAACTGCTCTTTCAAAAGAATGATTCAACACTCTGAGATGAATGCACACATCACAAATGTTTCTCAGAATGCTTCTGTCTACTTTTAATGTGAAGTTATTTATTTTTCACCATATGAATCACAATGCTCAGAAATATACCTTTGCCAATAATACAAAAAGACTGTTTGCAAACTGCTCAATGAAAAGAAAGACTCAACATTGTGAGATGAATACACACAACAAAAAAATTCTCAGAAAGCTTCTGTCTAGTTTTTATGAGAAGATAATTCCTTTTTCACCACAGTTCTCAAACTGCTCACAAATATACCTATGCAGAATCTACAAAAAGATTGTTTCCAAACAGCTCAATCAAAAAAAATCTTCAACACTGTGAGATGAATGCACACATCACAAAGAAGTTTCACAGAATGCTTTTGTCTAGTTTTTATGTGAAGATATTTGGTTTTTTACCATAGGCCAAAAATGGCTCACAAATATCACTATGCAGAATCTGCAAAAAGACTTCCAAACTGCTCAATCAAAAGAAAGCATCAAATCTGTGAGATGAATGCACACAAGACAAATAAGTTTCTCAGAAAGATTCTGACTTCTTTTTATGTGGAGATATTTACTTTCTCATCGCAGTCCTCAAACCACTCACAAATATCCCTCTGCAGATTCTAGAAAAAGACTGTTTCCAAACGCCTCAATCAACAGAAAGTTTCAACTCTGTAAGATGAAGGCACATATCAAAAAGTATCCAAACTGCTCAATCAAAAGAGAGGTTCAACTCTGTGACATGAATGCACACACCACAAGGAAGATTTTCAGAATGCTTCTGTCTAGTTTTCATGTGAAGATATTTCCTTTTCAGCTATAGGGCTCAAAGTGCTCCAAATATGCATTTGCAGATACTACACAAAGAGTGCTTCCAACTGTTCACTCAAAAGAAAGGTTCAAAACTGACAGTTAAGTGCACACATCACAAACAAGTTTCTGAGCATGCTTACATCTCGTATTTATGTGAAGATATTTCCTATTCATCTATAGGCCTCAAAGTGCTCCACATATCCATTTGCAGATAGAACATAAAGAGTTTTTTCCAAGCTGCTCAATCAAAAAAAGGTTCAACTCTGTGAATTGAATGCACACATCACGAAGAAGTACCTGGGAATGCTTCTGTCTGGGTTTTATGTGAAGATATTTCCTTTTCCACCAAAGGCCTCAAAGCCCTCCAAATATCCCCATGCAAATTCTACAAAAAGAGTTTTTCAAAACTGCTCAATCAAAAGAACGTTTCAGCTCTGTGAGATGAATGCTGTCATCATAAAGAAGTTTCTCAGAATGCTTCTGTTTAGTATTTATGTGAAATTATTTCCTTTTCTTCTATAGGCCTCAAAGCGCTCCACATATCCATTTTCAGATAGAACATAAAGAGTTTTTCCAAACTGCTCAATCAAAAGAAAGGTTCAACTCTGTGAATCGAATGTACACATCACAAGAAGTACCTGGGAATGCTTCTGTCTAGGTTTTATGTGAAGATATTTCTTCTTCCACCATAGGCCTCAAAGCCCTCCAAATATCCCCATGCAGATTCTACAAAAAGAGTATTTCAAATCAGCTCAATCAAAAGAAAGGTTCAACTCTGTGAGATGAATGAGCTCATCACCAAGAAGTTTCTCACAATACTTCTGTCTAGTTTTTATGTGAAGATATTTCCTTTTCAGCTTTAGGCATCATAGCACTCCAAACATCCACTTGCAGATTCTACAAAAAGAGTGTTTTCAAAGTGCTCAATCAAAAGAAAGTTTCAACTTTGTGGGTTGAATGCACACATCACAAAGAAGTTTCTCAGAATGCTTCTGTCTAGTTTTTTTGGGAAGATATTTGCCTTTTCACCATGAGCCTCAAAGCGCTCCAAATATCCACTTGCAGATTCTACAGAAAGAGTTTCTCAAAAATGCTCAAACAATAGAGAGGTTCAACTCTGTGAGATGAATGCACTCATCACAAAGAAGCTTCTGAGAATGCCTCTGTCTAGTTTTTATGTTAAGATACTTCCTTTTCAGCTATAGGTCTCAAAGCTCTCCACATATCCATTTGCACATACTTCAAAAAGAGTGTTTCCAAACTGCTTAATCAAAAGAAAGTTTCAATTCTGTGAGTTGAATGCACATATCACTAAGAAGTATCTGGGAATGCTTCTATCTAGGTTTTATGTGAAGATATTTCCTTTTCCACAATAGGCCTCAAAGAGCTCCCAATATCCCCTTGCAGACTCTACAAAAAGAATGTCTCAAAACTGCTCAATCAAAAGAAAGCTTCAACTCTGTGAGACGAATGCACTCATCCAAAGAAATTTCTCAGAATATGTCTGTCTAGCTTTTATGTGAAGACATTTTTTTTCAGCTATAGGACTCAAAGCTCACCAAATATCCACCTGCAGATTCTACAAATAGAGTGCATCAAAACTGCTCAATCAAAAGAAAGTTTCAACTCTGTGAGATGAATGCACACATCACAAAGAAGTTTCTGAGAATGCTTCTGTCTAGTTTTTACCTGAAGATATTTCCTTTTCCACCATAGGCCTCAAAGCACTGCAAATATCCACTAGCACATACTACAAAAAGAGTGTTTCCAAACTGCTCTATCAAAAGAAAGTTTAAACTCGTTGAGTAGAATGCACACATTACAAAGTAGTTTCTGAGAGTTCTTCTGTCTCTTTTTTATGTGAATATATTTCCTTTTCAGCTATAGGACGCAAAGCACTCCAAATATCCACTTGCAGATTCTACAAAAAGAGTGTTCAAAACTGCTCAATCAAAAGAAAATTTCAACTCTGTGAGATGAATGCACACATCACACAGCAGTTTCTCAGAATTTTTCTGTCTAGTTTTTATATGAAGATATTTCCTTTTCCACCATAAGCCTCAAAGCACTCCAAATATCCACTTGCAGATTCTACAAAAACAGTTTGTCAAAACAGCTCCATCAAAAGAAGGTTTCAACTCTGTGAGATGAATGCATTCATCACAAAGAAGTTTCTCAGAATACTTCTTTCTAGTTTTTGTGTGAAGATATTTCCTTATCAGCTATAGGCCTGAAAATGCTCCACATATCCATTTACAGTTACTACAAAAACAGTGTTTCCAAACTCCTCAATCAAAAGAAAGGTTCAACTCTGTGAGTTGAATGCACACATCACAAAGAAATATATGACAATGCTTCTGTCTAGGTTTTATTTGAAGGTATTTCCTTTTCCACAGTAGGCCTCAAAGTGCTCCAAATATCCAATTGCAGATTCTACAAAAAGAGTGTTTCAAAACTGCTCAATGAAAAGAAATGTTCAACTCTGTGAGATGAATGCACACATCACAAAGAAGTTTCTCAGAATGCTTCTGTCTAGTTTTTATGTGAAGATATTTCCTTTTCCAACATAGGCCTCAAAGCACTCCAAATATGCACATGCAGATACTACAAAAAGAGATTCTGGAAACTGCTCAATCAAAAGAAAGTTTCAAATCTGTCAGATGAATACACTCATCACAAAGAAGTTTCTCAGAATGCTTTTGTCTAGTTTTTATGTGAAGATATTTCCTTTTCAGCTGCAGGCATCAAAGCACTCCACATAACCATTTGCAGATACTACAAAAAGAGTGTTTCCAAACTGCTCAGTCAAAAGAATGGTTCATCTCTGTAAGCTGAATGCACACATCACATAGAAGTATCTGAGAATTCTTCTATCTAGGTTTTATGTGAAGATATTTCGTTTTCCACCATAGGCCTCAAAGTGCTCCAAATATGCACTTGCAGATCCTACAAAAGAGTGTTTCAAAACTGCTCAATCAATAGAAACTTTCAACTCCTTGAGATAAATGCACTCATCCTAAAAAAGTTTCTCAGAATGCTTCTGTCTAGTTTTTATGTGAAGATATTTCCTTTTCAGCTATAGGCCTCAAAGAGCTCCAAATATCCCCTTGCAGATTCTACAAAAAGAGTGTTTCAAAACTCCTCAATCAAAAGAAAGTTTCAACTCTGTGAGATGAACGCAGTCATCTCAAAGAAGTTTCTCAGAATGCTTCTGTCTATTTTTTATGTGAAGATATTTCCCTTTCAGCTATAGGACTTAAGGCACTCAAATATTCACTTGCAGATTTTACAAAAAGAGTGTTTCCAAACTGCTTAATCAAAAGAAAGGTTCAACTCTGTGAGTAGAATACACATATCTCAAAGAATGTTCTGAGAATGCCACTGTTTAGTTTTTATGTGAAGACATTTTCTTTTCCACCATAGGCCTCAAAGTGCTCAAAATATCCACTTGCAGATTCTACAAAAAGAGTGTTTCAAAACTGCTCCATCAAAAGAAAGGATTAACTCTGTGAGTAGAATGCAGATATTACAAAGAAGTTTCTGAGAATGTTTCTGTCTACTTTTTATGTGAAGATATTTCCTTTTCAGCTATACGCATCAAAGTGCTCCAAATATCCATTTGTAGATACTACAAAAAGTGTGTTTTCAAACTGCTCAATGAAAAGAAAGGTTCAACTTTCTGAGTTCAATGCACACATCACATAGAGGTATCTGAGAACTCTTCTGTCTGGTTTTTATGTGAAGATATTTCTTTTGCACCACAGGCCTCAATACGCTCCAAATATCCACTTGCAGATACTACAAAAATAGTGTTTCCAAACTGCTCAATCAAAAGAAAGGTTCAGCTGTGCGAGATGAATGAACTCATCACAAAGAAGTTTCTCAGAATGCTTCTGTCTAGTTTTTATGTGAAGATATTTCCCTTTCAGCTATAGGACTCAAAGAGCTCCAAATATGCACTTGCAGACACTACAAAAAGAATGTTTCAAAACTGCTCGATCAATAGAAAGGTTCAACTCTCTGAGTTGAATGAGCAGATCAAAAATAAGTTTCGGAGAATGCTTCGGTCTAGTTTTTATGTGAAGATATTTCCTTTTCCACCATAGGCCTCAAAGCGCTGCAAATATCCATTTGCAGACAGTACAAAAAGAGTGTTTTCAAATTGCTCTATCAAAAGAAAGTTTCAACCCTGTGAGTTGAATGCACACAACACAAAGAATTATCAGAGAATGCTTCTGTCTAGTTCTATGTGCATATATTTCCTTTTCCACTGTAGGACTCAAAGAGTACCAATTATTCACATGAAGATTCTACAAAAAGAGTGTCTCAAAACTGCTCAATCGAAGGAAATCTTCAACTCTGTGTGATGAATGTAGACATCACAAAGAAGTTTCTGAGAATGCTTCTGTCTGGGTTTTATGTGAAGATATTTCCTTATCCACCATAGGCCTCAAAGCGCTCCAAATATCCACTTGCAGATTCTACAAAAAGAGTGTCTCCAAACTGCTCAGTCAAAAGAAAGGATCAACTCTGTGAGATGAATGCACACAACACAAAGACGCATCTGAGATTGCTTCTGTCTGGGTTTTATGTGAAGATATTTTCTTTTCCACCATAGGACTCATAGCGCTCCAAATATCCACTTGCAGATTCTACAAAAAGAGTGTTTCAAAACTGCTCAATCAAAAGAAAGGTTCAACTCTGTGAGATGAATGCAGTAATCACAAAGAAGTTGCTCAGAATGCTTCTGCCTAGTTTTTATGGGAAGATATTTCCCTTTCAGCTATAGGACCCAAAACGCTTCAAATATCCACTTGCAGATTCTTCAAAAAGAATGTTTCGAAGCTGCTCAATCAAACGAAATGTTCAACTCTGTGAGTTGAATGCACACATCCCAAAGAAATTTCTGTGAATGCTTCAGTATAGTTTTTATATGAAGATATTTCCTTTCCCACCATAGGCGTCAAAGCGCTCCAAATATCCATTAGTAGATTTTACAAAAAGAGTGTTTCAATACTGCTCAATGAAAAGTTAGTTTCAACACTGTGAGTAGAATGCACACATTACAAAGAAGTTTCTGAGAATGCTTCTGTCTAGTGTTTATGAGAAGCGATTTCTTTTTCAGCTGTAGGCCTCAAAGTGCTCCAAATATCAATTTGCAGATACTACAAAAAGAATGGTTTCATAGTGCTCAATCAAAAGAAAGTTTCAACTCTGTGAGTTGAACGCACACTTCACCAAGAAGTATCAGAGAATGCTTCTGTCAAGCTTTTATGTGAAGATATTTCCTTTACAACCATAGACCTCACAGTGCTCCAAATATCCACTTGCAGATTCTACAAAAAGAGTGTTTCGTAAGTGCACAAAGTAAAGGTTCAACTCTGTGAGTAGAATGCACACATTACAAAGAAGTTTCTGAGAATGCTTCTTTCTAGATTTATGTGAAGATATTTCCTTTTCAGCTATAGGCCTCAAAGCGTTGCAAATATCCATTTGCAGATAGGACCAAAATAGTGTTTTCCAACTGCTCAATGAAAAGAAAAGCTCAACTCAGTGAGTTAAATGCACACATCACAAAGAAGTATCTGAGAATGCTTCTGTCTATTTTTATGTGAAGGTATTTGCTTTTCCAACATAGGCCTGAAAGCGCTCCAAATATCCATATTCAGATACTACAAAAGGAGTGTTTCAAATCTGCTCTATCAAAAGAAAGGTTCAACTCTGTGAGTTGAATGCACACATCACAAAGAAATTTCTGAGAATGCTTCTTCTAGTTTTTATGTGAAGATATTTCCTTTTCCACCATAAGCCTCAAAGGGCTCCAAATATCCATTTGTAGATTCTACAAAAAGAGTGTTTCAATACTGCTCAATGAAAAGAAATGTTCAAATTTGTGAGTTGAATGCACACATCACAAAGAAGTATCTGAGAATGCTTTTGTCTAGGTTTTATGGGAAGATATTTCCTTTTCCACCATAGGCATCAAAGTGCTCTAAATATCCACTTGCATATTCCACAAAAAAAGTGTTTCAAAACTGCTCTGTCAAAAGAAAGATTCAACTCCATGAGTTGAATGCACACGACACAAAGAAGTTTCAGAGAATGCTTCTGTCTAGTTTTTATGTGAAGATATTTCCTTTTACACCATAGGCCTCAAAGCGCTCCAAATATCCACTTGCAGACACTACAAAAAGAGTGTTTCAAAGCTGCTCAATCAAAAGAAACGTTCAACTCTGTGAGCTGAATACACACATCACAAAGAAGTATTTGAGAATGCTTATGTCTAATTTTTATGTGAAGATATTTGCTTTTTCACCATAGGCCTCAAAGCACTCGGAATATCCACATGCAGATACTACAAAAATAGTGTTTCAAAAATGCTCAACCAAAGGAAAGGTCCAACTCTGTGAGTAGAATGCACACATTATAAAGAAGTTTCTGAGAATGCTTCTTTCTAGATTTATGTGAAGATATTTTCTTTTCAATTACAGCCTCAAAGCATTCCAAATATCTATTTGCAGATAGGAACACAATAGTGTTTTCCAACTGCTCAATGAAAAGAAAAGTTCAAATCTGTGAGTTAAATGCACACATCACAAAGGAGTATCTGAGAATGCTTCCGTCTAGTTTTATGTGAAGGTATTTGCTTTTCCAACTTAGGTCTGAAGGCGCTCCAAATATCCACTCTCAGATTCTACAAAAAGAGTGTTTCAAATCTGCTCTATCAAAAGAAAGTTCAACCCTGTGAGTTGAACGCACACATCACAAATAAATTTCTGAGAATGCTTCAGTATAGTTTTTACATGAAGATATTTCCTTTTCTTCTATAGGTCTCAAAGTGCTCCAAATATCCATCTGTAGATTCCACAAAAAGAGTGTTTCAATACTGCCCAATGAAAACTGAGTTTCAACACTGTGAGTAGAATGCACATATTACAAAGAAGTTTCTGAGAAAGATTCTGTCTAGTGTTTATGAGAAGGTATTTACTTTTCAGCTATAGGCCTCAAAGCGCTCCAAATATCCATTTGCAGATACCACAAAAAGAGTGTCTTCTAACTGCTCAATCAAAAGAAAGGTTCAGCTCTGTGAGTTGAATGCACACATCACAAAGTAGTATCTGAGAATGCTTCTGTCAAGCTTTTATGTGAAGATATTTCCTTTACAACCATAGACTTCAAAGTGCTCCAAATATCCACTTGCAGATTCTACAAAAAGAGTGTTTCAAAACTGCTCAATCAAAAGAAAGGTTCAACTCTGTGAGATGAATGCACACATCACAAACAAGTTTCTCAGAATGCTTCCGTCTAGTTTTAAGGGAAGATATTTTCTTTTCCAACATAGGCCTCAAAGCGCTCCAAATATCCACTTGCAGATCCTACAAAAAGAGTTTCTCAAAACTGCTCAAAAGAAAGGTTCAACTCCGTGAGATGAATGCAATCATCACAAAGAAGTTTCTGAGAATGCTTCTATCTAGTTTTTATGTGAAGATATTTCCTTTTCAGCTGTAGGCCTCAAAGCACTCCACATATCCATTTGCAGATACTACAAACAGAATGTTTTCAAACTGCTCAATAAAAAGAACGCTTCAACTCTTTGAGTTGAATGCACACATCACAAAGAAGTATCTGAGAATGCTTCTGTCTAGGTTTTATGAGAAGATATTTCCTTTTCCACCATAGGCCCCAAAGTGCTCCAAATATCCCCTTGCAGATTCTACAAAAAAGAGTGTTTCAAAACTGCTCAATGAAAAGAAAGGTTCAACCTTGTTAGATGAATGCACACATCACAAAAATGTTTCTCAGAATGCTTCTGTCTAGTTTTTATGTGAAGATATTTCCTTTCCCACCATAAGACTCAAGGCGCTCCAAATATTCATTTGCAGATTCTAAAAAAAGAGTTTTTCAAAACTGCTCAAATAAAAGATAGATTCAACTCTGTGAGATGAATGCACTTATCACAAAGAAGTTTCTCAGAATGCTTCTTTCTGGTTTTTATGTGAAGATATTTCCTTTTCAGCTACAGGCCTCAAAGTGCTCCACATAAACATTTGCAGATACCACAAAAAGAGTATTTCCAAACTGCTCAATCAAAAGAAACGTTCAAATCTGTGAGTTGAATGCAGACATCACAAAGAAGAATCTGAGAATTCTTCTCTCTAGTTTTTATGGAAAGATACTTCCTTTTCCACCAAAGGCCTCAAAGCAGTACAAATATTCACAGGCAGATTATGCAAAAAAGAGTGTTTCAAAACTGCTCAATCAAAAGACAGGTTCAACTCTGTGAGTTGATTGCACACATCACAAAGGAGTTTCAGAGAATGTTTCTGTCTAGTTTTTATGTGAAAATATTTCTTTTTCCAACTTAGGCCTCAAACGGAACAAAATATCCTCTTGCAGATTATACAAAAAAGTGTTTCAAAACTGCTCTGTCAAAAGAAAAGTTCAACTCTGTGAGTTGAATGCACACATAACAAAGAAGTTTCTGAGAATGCTTCTGTCTAGTTTTTATGTGAAGATATTCCCATTTCCACCAAAGTCCTCAACGCGCTCCAAGTGTCCACTTGCAGATTCTACAAAAAGACTGTGTCAAAACTGCTCTATCAAAAGGAAGGTTCAACTCTGTGAGTTGAATGCACACATCACAAAGTGGTTTCTGAGAATGCTTCTGTCTAGTTTTTCTGTGAAGATATCCCGTTTCCACCATAGGCCTCAAAGCTCTCCAAATACCCACTTGCAGATTCTACAAAAAGAGTGTCTAAAAACTGCTCTATCAAAAGGAAGATTCGACTCTGTGAGTTGAATGCACACAACACAAAGAAGTTTCTGAGAATGCTTCTGTCTCGTTTCTTTGTGAGGATATTTCCTTTTCCACTACAGGCCTCAAAGCGCTCCAAATGTGCACTTGCAGATTCTACAAAAAGAGTGTTTCAAAACTGGTATATCGAAAGAAAGGTTCAACTTTGTGAGTTCAATGAACTCATCACAAAGAAGTTTCTGAGTATGCTTCTGTCTAGTTTTTATGTGATGATATTCCCATTTCCACTGAAGGCCTCAAAGCGGTCCAAGTATCTACTTGCAGATTCTGCAAAAAGAGTGTTTCAAAAATGCTCTATCAAAAGGAATGTTCAACACTGTGAGTTGAATGCAAACATCACAAAGTAGTTTCTGAGAATGCTGCTGTCTAGTTTTTATATGAAGAAATTTCCTTTTCTACCAGAGGCCTCAAAGCACTCCAAATAACCACTTGCAGATTCTACAAAAAGAATGTTTCAAAACTGCTCTATCAAAAAAAGGGTTCAACTCTGTGAGTTGAATGCAAACATCACAAAGTAGTTTCTGAGAATGTTTCTGTCTAGTTTTTATATGAAGATATTTCCTTTTCTATCATAGGCCTCAAAGCCCTCCAAATATCCACTTGCACATAATACAAAAATAGGGTTTCAAAGCTGCTCTATCAAAAGAAAGGTTCAACTCTGTGATTTGAATGCACACAACACAAAAAAGTGACGGTGAATGCTTCTGTCTAGTTTTTATGTGAAGACATTTCTTTTTCCAACATAGGCCTCAAAGCGCTCCCAATATCCACTTGCAGATTCTACGAAAAGAGTGTTTCAAAACTGCTCTATCAAAAGAAACGATCAACTTTGTAAGTTCAATGCACACTTCACAAAGAAGTTTCTGAGAATGCTTCTGTCTAGTTTTTATGTGAAGATATTTCATTTTCAAGCATAGGCCTCAAAGCGCTCCAAATATTCACATGCAGATTCTACAAAAAGAGTGTTTCAAAACTGCTCAGTCAAAAGAGTGGTTCAACTCTGTGAGATGAATGCACACATCACAAAGACACTTCTCAGAATGCCTCTGTCTAGTTTTTATGTGAAGATATTTCCTTTCCCACCATAAGACCCAAGGCGCTCCAAATATTCACTTGCAGATTCTAAAAAAAGAGTTTCTCAAAACTGCTCAAATAAAAGATAGATTCAACTCTGTGAGATGAATGCACTCATCCAAAGAAGTTTCTCAGAATGCTTCTTTCTGGTTTTTATGTGAAGACATTTCCTTTTCAGCTACAGGCCTCAAAGTGCTCCACATAAACATTTGCAGATACTACAAAAAGAGTATTTCCAAACTGCTCAGTCAAAAGAAACGTTCAAATCTGTGAGTTGAATGCAGACATCACAAAGAAGAATCTGAGAATTCTTCTCTCTAGTTTTTATGGAAAGATACTTCCTTTTCCACCAAAGGCCTCAAAGCAGTACAAATATCCACAGGCAGATTATGCAAAAAAGAGTGTTTCAAAACTGCTCAATCAAAAGACAGGTTCAACTCTGTGAGTTGATTGCACACATCACAAAGGAGTTTCGGATAATGTTTCTGTCTAGTTTTTATATGAAGATATTTCCTTTTCTATCATAGGCCTCAAAGCACTCCAAATATCCACTTGCACATTATACAAAAATAGGGTTTCAAAGCTGCTCTATCAAAAGAAAGGTTCAACTCTGTGATTTGAATGCACACAACACAAAGAAGTGATGGTGAATGCTTCTGTCTAGTTTTTATGTGATGATATTTCTTTTTCCAACATAGGCCTCAAAGCGCTCCCAATATCCACTTGCAGATTCTACGAACACAGTGTTTCAAAACTGCTCTATGAAAAGAAATGATCAACTTTGTGAGTTCAATGCACACATCACAAAGAAGTTTCTGAGAACGCTTCCGTCTAGTTTTTATGTGAAGGTATTTCCTTTTCCACCATAGGCCTTAAAGCGATCCAAATATCCACTTGCAGATTCTACAAAAAGAGTGTTTCAAAAATACTCTATCAAAAGAAAGTTTCATCTCTGTGAGTTGAATGCACAGAATACAAAGAAGTTTCTGCGAATGCTACTGTCTAGTGTTTATGTGAAGATATTTCATTTTCCAACATAGGCCTCAAAGGGAACTAAATATCCACTTGCAGATTCTACCAAAAGAGTGTTCCAAAACTGCTCAATCAAAAGAAACGTTCAAATCTGTGAGTTGAATGCACACACCACAAAGAAGTTATGGATAATGCTTCTGTCTGGGTTTTATGTGAATATATTTCCTTTTCCACCATAGGCCTCAAAGTGCTCCAATTACCAAATTGCAGATTGTAGAAAAAGAGTGTTTCAAAACTGCTCTCTCAAAAGAAAGGTTCAACTCTGTGAGATGAATGCACACATCTCAAAGAAATTTCTGAGAATCCTTCTGTCTAATTTTTATGTGAAGATATTTGCTTTTCCACCATAGGCCTCAAAGCCCTCCAAATATCCCCTTGCAAATGCTACAAAAGGAGTGTTTCAAAACTGCTCTATCCAAAGAAAGGTTCAACTGTATGAGTTGAATGCACACATCACAAAGTAGTTATGGAGAATGCTTCTGTCTAGTTGTTATGTGAAGATATTTCCTTATTCACCATAGGCCTCAAGGCCATCCAAATATCCACTTGCAGATTCCACAAAAAGAGTGTTTCAAAAATGCTCTATCAAAAGAAAGGTTCAGCTCTGTGAGTTTAATGCACACATCACAAAGAAGTTTCAGAGAATCCTTCTGTCTAGTTTTTCTGTGAAGATATTTGCTTTTCCACCATAGGCCTCAAAGCGCTCCAAATATCCACTTGCAGATTCTACAAAAACAGTGTTTCAAAATGGCTCTCTCAAAAGAAAGTATCAACTCTGTGAGTTGAATGCAAACATCTCAAAGAAGTTTCTGAGAGTGCTTCTGTCTAGTTTTTATGTGAAGATATTTCATTTCCCAACATAGGCCTCAAAGGGAACAAAACATCCACTTGCAGATTCTACAAAAAGAGGGTTTCAAAACTTCTCTGTCCAAAGAAAGTTTCAACTCTGTGTGTTCAATGCACACATCACAAAGAAGTTTCGGAAAATGCTTCTGTCTAGTTTTTATGTGAAGATATTTCCTTTTCCACCATAGGCCTCAATGCGCTCCAAATATCCACTTGCAGAATCTACAAAAAGAATGTTTCAAAACTTCTCTATCAAAAGAAAGGTTCAACTCTGAGTTGAATGCACACATCACAAAGAAGTTTTGGAGAAAGCTTCTGTCTAGTTTTAATGTGAAGATATTCCCATTTCTGCCATAGGCCTCAAAGCGCTCCAAATATCGACTTGCAGATACTACAAAAAGAGTGTTTCATAACTGCTCTGTCAAAAGGAGTGTTCAACTCTGTAAGTTGAATGCACACATCACAAAGAAGTTTCTGAGAATGCTTCAATCTAGTTTCTATGTGAAGATATTTCCTTTTCCACCACAGGCCTCAAAGTGCTCCAAATGTCCACTTGCAGATTCTACAAAAAAAGGGTTTCTCAACTGCCCTATCCAAAGAAAGGTTCAACTCTATGAGTTGAATACACACATCACAAAGAAGTTTCGGTGAATGCTTTGTCTAGTATTTATGTGAAGATATTTCATTTCCCAAAATAGGTCTCAAAGGGAACAAAATATCCACTTGCAGATTCTGTAAAAAGAGTGTTTCAAAATTGCTCTAGCAAAAGAAAGGGTCAACTCTGTGAGTTGAATGTACATACAACGAAGAAGTTTCTGAGAATGCTTCTGTCTTGTTTTTCTGTGAAGATATTGCGTTCTCCATCACAGGCCTCTAAGGGAACAACATATCCACTTGCAGATTCTACAAAAAGAGTGTTTCAAAACTGCTCTATCAAAAGAAAGGTTCAACTCTGTGAGTTGATTGCACACATCAAAAAGAAGTTTCAGAGAATGCTTCTGTCTGGTTTTTATGTGAAGATATTCCCTTTTCCACCATAGGCTTCAAAGCACTCATAATATCCACTTACAGATTCTACAAAAAGAGTGTTTCAAAACTGCTCTATTAAAAGAAAGCTTCAACCCTGTGAGCTGAATGTGCACATCACAAAGAAGTTTTGGAGAAAGCTTCTGTCTAGTTTTAATGTGAAGATATTCCCATTTCCGCCATAGGCCTCAAAGCGCTCCAAATATCGACTTGCAGATTCTACAAAAAAGAGTGTTTCATAACTGCTCTGTCAAAAGGAGTGTTCAACTCTGTAAGTTGAATGCACACATCACAAAGAAGTTTCTGAGAATGCTTCAATCTAGTTTCTATGTGAAGATATTTCCTTTTCCACCACAGGCCTCAAAGTGCTCCAAATGTCCACTTGCAGATTCTACAAAAAAAGGGTTTCTCAACTGCCCTATCCAAAGAAAGGTTCAACTCCGTGAATTGAATGCACACATCACAAACAAGTTTCGGTGACTGCTTCTGTCTAGTATTTATGTGAAGATATTTCATTTCCCAAAATAGGCCTCAAAGGGAACCAAATATCCACTTGCAGATTCTGTAAAAAGAGTGTTCCAGAATTGCTCTAGCAAAAGAAAGGGTCAACTCTATGAGTTGAATGTACATACAACAAAGTAGTTTCTGAGAATGCTTCTGCCTTGTTTTTCTGTGAAGATATTGTGTTCTCCAAGATAGGCCTCTAAGGGAACAACATATCCACTTGCAGATTCTACAAAAAGAGTGTTTCAAAACTGCTCTATCAAAAGAAAGCTTCAACCCTGTGAGTTGAATGCACACATCACAAAGTAGTTTCTGAGAATGCTTCTGTCTAGTTTTTAAGTGAAGATATTTTGTTTTCCAACGAAGGCCTCAAAGGAAACAAAATATCCACTTGCAGATTCTACAAAAAGAGTGTTACTAAACTGCTCTCTCAAAAGAAAGTTTCAACTCTGTGAGTTGCACACATCAGAAAGAAGTTTCAGAGAATGCTCCTGTCTAGTTTTTATGTGAAGATATTTCCTTTTCAACTATAGGCCTCAAAGCGCTCCAAATATCCACTTTCAGACTCTACAAAAAGAGTGTTTCAAAACTGCTCTATAAAAAGAAAGGTTCAGCTCGGTGTGTTGAATGCACACATCACAAAGAAGTTTCGGAGAATGCTTCTGTCTAGTTTCATGTGAAGATATTTCCTTTTCAACGACAGGCCTCAAAGAGCTCCAAATATCCAATTGCAGATTCTGCAAAAAGAGCGTTTCAAAACTGCTCCATCAAAAGAAAGGTTCAACCCTTTGAGTTGAATGCACACTACACAAAGAGGTTACAGAGAATGCTTCTGTGTAGTTTTTATGTGAAGATATATCCTTTTCCACCATACGCCTCAAAGCGCTCCAAATATTCACTTGCTGATTCTAGAAAAAGAGTGTTTCAAAACTGCTCTATCAAAAGAAAGGTTCAATTCTGTGAGTTGAATGCACACATAACAAAGAAGTTGATGAGAATCCCTCTGTCTACTTTTTAGGTGAAGATATTCCCGTTTCCACCGAAGGCCTCAAAGAGCTCCAAATATCCACTTGCAGATTCTATAAAAAAAGGTTTTCAAAACTGCTCTATCAAAAGGAAAGTTCATCTCTGTGAGTTGAATGCACACATTACAAAGAAGTTTCTGAAAATGCTTCTGTCTAGTTTTTATGTGAAGATATTCCCATTTCCACCAAAGGCCTCAACGCGCTCCAACTGTCCACTGGCAGATTCTACAAAAAGACTGTGTCAAAGCTGCTCTATCAAAAGGAAGGTTCAACTCTGTGAGGTGAATACACACATCACAAAGTAGTTTCTGAGAATGCTTCTTTCTACTTTTTATGTGAAGATATTCCCGTTTCCACCGTTGGCCTCAAAGCACTCCAAATTTCCACTTGCAGTTTCTACAAAAAGAGTGTTTCAAAACTGCTCTATCAAAAGGAAGGATCAAAACTGTGAGTTGAATACACAAATCACAAAGAAGTTTCTGAGAATGCTTCTGTCTAGTTTTTATTTGAAGATATTTCCTTTTCTACCAGAGGCCTCAAAGCCCTCTAAATATACACCTGCAAATTCTACAAAAAGAGTGTTTCAAAACTGCTGTATCAAAAGAAAAGTTAAATTCTGTGAGTTGAATGCACACATCACAAAGTAGTTTCTGAGAATGCTTCTGTGTAGTTCTTCTATGAAGATATTTCCTTTTCTACCGTAGACCCCAAAGAGCTCTAAATATCCACTTGCAAATTCTACAAAAAGAGTGTTTCAAAACTGCTCTATCAATAGGAAGCTTCAACTCGGTGAGTTGAGTGCAGACATCACAAAGTTGTTTCTGAGAATACTTCTGTCTACTTTTTATGTGAAGATACTCCCGTTTCCAAAGAACGCCTCAAAGCGCTCCAAATATGCACTTGCAAATTCTACCAAAAGAGTGTTTCAAAACTGCCCTATCAAAAGGAAGGTTCAACTCTGTGGGTTGAATGAACACATCACAAAGAAGTTTCTGAGAATTCTTCCGTCTAGTTTTATATGAAGAAATCCCATTTCCAACGAAGGCCTCAAAGAAGTCCAAATATCCACTTGCAGATTCTACAAAAAGAGTGTTTCAGAACTGCTATATCAAGAGGAATGTTCAACTCTGTGAGTTGAATGCAAACATCACAAAGTAGTTTCTGAGAATGCTTCCATCTAGTTTTTAATGTGAAGATATGTCCTTTTCTATAATAGACCTCAAAGCAATCTTAATATACACTTGCAAATTCTACAAAAAGAGTGTTTCAAAACTGCTCTATCAAAAGAAAGGTTAAACTCTGTGAGTTGAAATCACACATCCCATAGTAGTTTCTGAGAATGATTCTGTCTAGTTTTTATATTAAGTTATTTCCTTTTCTACCATAGGCCTCAAAGCGCTCTAAATATCCACTTGCAAATACTACAAAAAGAGTGTTTCAAAACTGCTCTATCAAAAGGCAGTTTCAACTCTGTGAGTTGAGTGCAGACATCACAAAGAAGTTTCTGAGAATACTTCTGTCTGCTTTTTATGTGAAGATACACCCGTTTCCAAAGAAGGCCTCTAAGCACTCCAAATATCCACTTGCAGCCTTTACAAACAGAATGTTTCAAAACTGCTCTATCAAATGAAAGGTTAAACTCTGTGAGTTGAGTCCAGATTTCACAAAGTAATTTCTGAGAATGCTTCTGTCTAGTTTTTCTGTGAAGATATTTCCTTTTCTATCATAGGGTTCAAAGCACTCTAAATATCCACTTGGAAATTCTGTAAAAGAGTGTTTCAAAACTGCTCTATCAAAAGGAAGATTTAACTCTGCGAGTTCAATGCACACATCAGAAAATGTTTCTGAGAATTCTTCGTTCAAATTTTTTTGTAAGGAAATTCCCGTTTTCAACGAAGGGCCCTAAGAGGTCCAAATATCCACTTGCAGATTTTACAAAAAGAGTGTTTCAAAACTGCTCTATCATAAGGAATGTTGAACTCTGTGATTTGAATCAAAATATCACAAAGTAGTTTCTGAGAATGCTTCTATCTAGTTTTTATGTGAAGATATTTACTTTTCTACCACAGGCCTCAAAACGCTGTAAATATACAATTGCAAATTCTACAAAAAGAGTGTTTCAAAACTGCTCTATCAAAAGAAAGGTTAAACTCGGTGAGTTGAACACACACATCACATAAAAGTTACTGAAAATGATTCTGTCTTGTTTTTATATAAAGATATTTCCTTTTCTACCATAGTCCACTAAGTTCTCTAAATATCCACTTGCACATTCTACAAAAAGAGTGTTTCAAAACTTCTCTATCAAAAGGAAGGTTCAACTGTTTCAGTGGAGTGCAGACATCACAAAGAAGTTTCTGAGAATACTTCTATGTGCTTTTAGAGGGAAGATATTCCCATTTCCAAAGAAGGCCTCAAAGCGCTCCAATTATCAACTTGCAGACTTTACAAACAGAGTTTTTCAGAAGTGCTCTATCAAAAGAAAGGTTTAACTCTGTGAGTTGAACGCACACATCACAAAGTAGTTTCTGAGAATGATTCTGTCTAGTTTTTATGTGAAGATATTTCCTTTTCTACCACAGGCTTCAAAGCGCTCTAAATATCCACTTGGAAATTCTACAAAAAGAGTGTTTCAAAACTGCTCTATCTAAAGGAATGTTCAACTCTGAGAGTTAAATGCACACATCACAAAAAGTTTCTGAGAATTATTTTGTCTAGTTTTTATGTGAAGAAATTCCCGTTTCTAACGAAGATCTCAAAGAGGTCCTAATATGCACTTGCAGATTTTTTAAAAAGAGTGTTTCAAAACTGCTGTATCAAAAGGAATGTTTAACTCTGTGAAGTGAATGCAAACATCACAAAGTAGTCTCTGAGAATGCTTCTGTCAAGTTTTTATGTTAAGATATTTCCTTTTCTACCATAGGCGTTAAAGTGCGCCAAATATCCACTTGCAGATATTACAAACAGAGTGTTTCAAAACTGCTCTATGAAAAGAAAGGTTAAACTCTGTGAGTTGAACGCAGACATCACAAAGTAGTTTCTGAGAATGATTCTGTCTAGTTTTTCTATGAAGATATTTCCTTTTCTACCATAGGCCTCCAAGCGCTCTAAATATTCACTTGGAAATTTTACAAAAAGAGTGTTTTCAAACTGCCCTATCGAAAGGAAGGTTCAACTCTGTGAGTTGAATGCACTCGTCAAAAAAAGTTTCTGCGAATTCTTCTTTCTGGTTTTTATTTCAAGAAATTCCCGTTTCCAACAAAGACATCAAAGAGGTCCAAATATAGACTTGCAGATTCTACAAAAAGAGTGTAACAAAACTGCTCTATCAAAAAGAATGTTTAACCCTATGAGTTGAATGCAAACCTCACAAACTAGTTTCACAGAATGCTTCTGTGTAGTTTTCTTATGAAGATATTTCCTTTTCTACCATAGGCCCCAAAGAGCTCTAAATATCCACTTGCAAATTCTACAAAAAGAGTGTTTCAAAACTGGTCTATAAAAAGGAAGTTACAACTCTGTGAGTTGAGTGCAGACATCACAAAGAAGTTCCTGAGAATACTTCTGTCTACTTTTTATGTGAAGATACTCCCGTTTCCAAAGAAGGCCTCGAAGCGCTCCATATATCCACTTGCAGACTTTACAAACAGAGTGTTTCAAAACTGCTCTATCAAAAGAAAAGTTTTACTCTGTGAGTTGAACGCACACATCGCAAAGCAGATTCTGAGAAGTATTCTGTCTAGTTTTTATAGGAAGATGTTTCTTTTTCCGCCGTAGGCTCAATGCGCTATAAATATCCCCTTGGAAATCCTACAAAAACAGTGTTTCAAAACTGCTCTGTGAAAAGAGAGGTTTCACTCTTTGAATTGAATGCACACATCACAAAGGAGTTTCTGAGAATCATTCTGTCTAGTTTCTATAGGAAGATATTTCCTATTCTACCATTGACCTCAAAGCGGCTGAAAGCTCCACTTGCAAATTCCACAAAAAGAGTGTTTCAAGTCTGCTCTGTGTAAAGGATCGTTCAACTCTGTGAGTTGAATACACACATCACAAAGAAGTTTCTCAGAATGCTTCTGTGTAGTTTTTATGTGAAGATATTTTCTTTTCCACAACAGGCCACAAAGCACTCCAAATATACACATCCAAATTCTACAAAAAGAGTGTTTCGAAACTGCTCAATCAAAAGAAAGTTTCAACACTGTGAGATGAATGCACACATCACAAATTAGTTTCTCAGAATGCTTCTGTCTAATTTTTATGTGAAGATATTTCCTTTTCAGCTATAGGAAACAAAGCGCTCCAAATATCCAACTGGAAATTCTACAAAAAGAGTGTTTCCAAACTGCTCAATCAAAAGAAACGTTCAACTCTGTGAGTTGAAGGCACAAAACACAAAAAAGTTTCTGAAATGCTTCTGTCTAGTTTTTATGTGAAGGTATTTCCTTTTCCAACATAGGCCTCAAAGCGCCCCAAATATCCTTTTGCAGATTCTACAAAAAGAGTGTTTCAAAACTGCTCAATCAAAAGAAAGGTTCAACTCTGTGAGATGAATGCATACATCACAAAGAAGTTTCTCAGAATGCTTCTATCTACTTTTTATGTGAAGATATTACCATTTCAGGTATAGGCCTCAAAGTGCTCCAAATATCCATCTGCAGATATTACAAAAAGAGTGTTTCCAAACTGCTCAATCAAAAGAAATGTTCGACTCTGTGAGTTGAATGCACACACCTCAAAGAAGTTGCTGAGAATGAAGCATGTCTAGTTTTTATGTGAGGATGTTTCCTTTTACAACATAGGCCTCAAGGTGCTCCAAATATCCACTTGCAGATTCTACAAAAAGAGTGTTTCAAAACTGCTCAATCAAAAGAAAGGTACAACTCTACAAGATGAATGCACACATCACAAAGAAGTTTCTGAGAATGCTTCTGTCTAGTTTTTATGTGAAGATATTTCCTTTTTAGCTATAGGTCTCAAAGGGCTCCAAATATCCATTTGCAGATATTACAAAAAGAGTGTTTCCAAGCTGCTCAATCAAAAGAAAAGTTCAACTCCGTGTGTTGAGTGCATACATCACAAAAAAGTTTCTGATAATGCTTTTGTCTTGTTTTTATATGAAGATATATACTTTTCCACAATAAGCCTCAAAGCACTCCAAACATCCACTTACGGATACTACAAAGAGAGTGTTTCAAAACTGCTCAATCAAAAGAAAGGTTCAACTCTGAGAGATGAATGCACGCATCACAGAGAGGATTCTCAATATTTTTCTCTCTAGTTTTTATATGAAGATACTTCCTTTTCAGCTATAGGCCTCAAAGAGCTCCAAATATCCTTTTGCACATACTACAAAAAGAGTATTTCCAAACTGCTCTATCAAAGGAAAGGTTCAACTCTGTAAGTTGAATGCACACATCACAAAGTAGTTTCTGAGAATGCTTCTGTCTAGTTTTCATGTGAAGATATTTCCTTAACCACCACAAAACTTAAACCACTCCAAATATCCACTTCCAGATTCTACAAAAAAGGTGTTTGAAAACTGCTCAATCAAAAGAAAAGTTCAACTCTCTGAGATGAATGCACACATCACAAAGAAGTTTCTCAGAGTGCTTCCATCTAATTTTAATGTGAAGATATTTCCTTTTCCATTACAGAACTCAAAGCGCTCCCAATTTCCACTTATGGATTCTACAAAAAGAGTGTTTCAAAACTGCTCAACCAAAAGAAAGATTCAACTCTCTGAGATGAATGCACGCATCACAAAGAAGATTCTCAGAATTCTTCTGTCTAGTTTTTATATGAAGATATTTCCTTTTCAGCTATAGGTCTCAAAGAGCTCCAAATGTGTTTTTGCAGGTACTACCAAAAGGGTGTTTTAAAACAGCTCTATCGAAAGAAAGGTTCAACTCTGTGAGTTGATTGCACACATCACAAAAAAGTTTCTGAGAATGCTTCTGTCTAGTTTTTATGTGAAGATATTTCCTTTTCCACCATAGGCCTCATAGTTTTCCAAATATCCACTTGCAGACTCTACAAAAAGAGTGTTTCAAAACTGCTCAATCAAAAGAAACGTTCAACTCTGTGAGATGAATGCAAACATCACAAAGAAGTTTCTCTGAATGCTTCTGTCTAGTTTTTATGTGAAGATATTTCCTTTGTAGCTATAGGCCTCAAAGTGCTCCAAATATCCATTTGCAGATACTACAAAAGAGTGTTTCCAAACTGCTCAATCAAAAGAAAATTTCAAAACTGTGAGTTGAATGCATACATCACAAAAAAGTTTCTGAGAATGCTTCTGTCTAGTTTTTCTGCGAAGATATTTCCTTTTCAGCTATAGGCCTCAAAGCACTCCAAATATCCATTTGCAGATATTACAAAAAGAGTGTTTCAAAATGGCTCTCTCAAAAGAAAGTATCAACTCTGTGAGTTGAATGCAAACATCTCAAAGAAGTTTCTGAGAGTGCTTCTGTCTAGTTTTTATGTGAAGATATTTTATGTGAAGATATTTTCACTGCTCAATGAAAAGAAAGGTTCAACTCTGTGAGATGAATGCACACATCACAAAAAAGTTTCAGAGAATGCTTCTGTCTAGTTTTTATATTAAGATATATCCTTTTCCACCATAGGCCTCAAAGCACCCCAAATATCCACTTACAGATGCTACAAAAAGAGTGTTTCAGAAATGCTCAATCAAAAGAAAGGTTAATATCTGTGAGATGAATGCTTACGTCACAAAGAAGTTTCTCAGAATGTTTCTGTCTAGGTTTTATGTGAAGATATTTCCTTTTCACCTCTAGGCCTCAAAGTGCCCCAAATATCAATTTACAGATATAACAAGAAGACAGTTTCTAAACTGTTCAATCAAAAGAAATGTTAACCTCTGTGAGTTGGATGCACACATCAGAAAGAAGTTTCTTAGAATGCTTTTGTCTACTTTTTATATGAATATATTTCCTTTTCCACCATAGGCTTAAATCTGTGAGATGAATGCAAACATCTCAAATTGGTTTACTCAGATAGTTTCCCTGTAGTTTTTATCCTGGGATATACACTTTTACTCCACTGGCCTCAATGAACTCCCAAATGTGCATTCACAGAAGGGGCATGAACAATGTTTCCAAACAGTTGAACCAAAAGAAAGTCTTAACTCTGTGAGATGAAAGCACACATCCAAAGCAGTTTCTCAGAAAGCTTCTCTCTAGTTTTTATCTGAAGATATTTTCTTTTTCACCATAGGTCTCAATGCACTCCCAAATTTCCCTTTGCAGAATAGACAAAAAGAGGGCTTCCCAACTGTTGAATGAAAAGTAATATTAAACTCTGTGGGATGAAACCACACATCACAAAGGAGTTTCTCGGAAAGCTTCTTTCTAGTTTTTATCTGAAGATATTTTCTTTTTCACCATAGGCCTCAATTTGCTCTGAAATATCCCTTCACAGATTCTACAATAACAGTGTTTCAAATCTGTTGAATCAAAAGGAAGGATTAACTCTGTGAGATGAATGCACACATCACACAGCAGTTTCTCCAAAAGATTCTTTCTAGTTTTTATAGGAAGATATATACCTGTTCACCAAAAGACTAAATGGGCTCCAAAATATCCCTCTGTAGATGTTACAAAAACTGTTTCCAAAGTGCTGAGTGAAAAGAAAGTTTTAACTCTGTGAGGTGAATGCAGACATCACATAGGAGTTTCTTACATAGCTTCCTTGAAGTTTTTATCTTGGGATATTCACTTTTTCTCCTTTGCCTCAATGATCATAATGGCCATTGGCAGAATGGACAAAAACAGTGTTCCCAAACTGTTGAAACTAAAGGAACTTCTAAGTCTGTGTGATGAAAGCATACATCACAAAGCAGTTTCTCAGAAAGCTTCTCTCTAGTTTTTATTTGAAGATATTTTCATTTTCACCTTAGGCCTCAATGTGCTCCTAAATATCCCTTTGCAGATTCTACAAAAACAGTGTTTCCAAACTGCTGAATGAAAAGAAAATTTTTCCTTTGTGAGATGAATTCACACAACACAACGAAGTTTAACATAAAGCTTCTTTCTATTTTTATATGAAGATATTTACTTTTTCACCATAGGCCTCAATGGGCTCCCAAATATCCCTTCACAAATTCTATAAAAACACTGTTTTTAAACTACTGTATGTAAGGAAAGTTTTAACTCTACGAGATAAATTCACACATCACAAAGCAGTATCACAGATGGCTTCCTTGAAGCTTTTATCCTGGGATATTCGCTTTTTCTCTCTTGGCCTCAATGAGCTCTCAAACGTCAATTTGCAAAATTGACAAAAACAGTGTTAAACCCCTCTATGAAAAGAAATGTTTAACTCTGTGAGATGAAACCACACATCACAAGACAGTTTCTCAGAAAGCTTCTTCCTAGTTTTTATGTCAAGATATTTACTTTTCAATATAGGCCTCAGTGGACTCCTAAATATCCCTTCACCGATTCTACAAAAAACAGTTTTTCCAAACTGCTGGATGGAAAGAAAGGTTTAACTCTGTGAGGTTAATGCACCCATCACAGAGCAGTTTCTCAGAAAGCTCCTGTCTACTTTTTGTCTTAAGATATTTTCTTCCACAACATAGGTCTCAATGTGCTCCCAAATATCCCTTTGCAGATTCTACAAAAACAGTGCTTCCAAACTGCTGAACGAAAAGAAAGGTTTAACTCTGTGAGATGACTGCACATATCACAAAGCAGTTTCTAGAAAGCTTCTTTCTTGTTTTTATCTGAAGATATTTTCTTTTTCACCATAGGCATCAATGCGCTCCCAAATAGCCCTTCACACAATGGACAAAAACTGTGTTTCAAAACTGTTGAATCAAAAGAAAAGATTAACTCTGTGAGTTGAATACACACATCACAAAGCAGTTTCTCAGAAAGCTTCTTCTAGTTTTATTTGAAAATATTTTCTTTTTCACTGTAGGCCTCTATGCTCTCCAAAATATCCCTTTGCAGACTCTACAAAAACAGTGTTTCCAAAGTGCTGGATCAAAAGAAAGTTTTCATCCCGTGAGATGAATGCACACATCACAAATCAATTTCTCAGAAAGCTTCTTTCTAGTTTTTATATGAAGATATTTACTGTTTCACCATAGGCCTCAATGGGCTCCCTAATATCCCTTCACAGATCCTGCAAAAACACCATTTCCAAACTGCTGAATGAAGAGAAAGGTTTAGCTATGTGAGATGAATGCAAACATCACAAATCAGTTTCTCAGATAGTTTCCTTTTAGTTTTTATCCTGGGATATACACTTTTCCTCCATTGGCCTCAATGAACTCCCAAATGTGCATTCACAGAATGGACACCAACAGTGTTTCCAAACAGTTGAACCAAAAGAAAGTGTTAACTCTGTGAGATGAAAGCACACATCCAAGGCAGTTTCTCTGAAAGCTTCTGTCTAGTTCTTATTTGAAGATATTTCTTTTTTCACCATAGACCTCAATACACTCTAAAATATCCCTTTGTAGATTCTACAAAAACAGTGTTTCCAAACTGCTGTATCAAAAGAAAGGTTTAACTCTGTGAGTTGCATGCACCCATCACAGAGCAGTTTCTCAGAAAGCTTCTTTGTACTTTTTATCTTGAGATATTTTCTTCTACAACATAGGTCTGAAAGCACTCCCAATATCCCTTCACAGATTCTACAAAAACAGTGTTTTAAGTGCTGAATGAAAAGAAAGGTTTAACTCTGTGAGGTGAAACCACACATCACTAAGTCATTTCTCTTGAAACTTCCTTCTATTTTTTATCTGAAGATATTTTCTTTTTCACCATAGGTCTCAATGCGCTCCCAAATTTCCCTTTGCAGAATAAACAAAAAGAATGTTTCCAAACTGTTGAATGAAAAGAAATATTAAACTCTGAGATGAAACCACACATCACAAAGCAGTTTCTCAGAAAGCTTCTTTCTAGTTTTTATCTGAAGATATTGTCTTTTTCACCATAGGCCTCAATTTGCTCTGAAATATCCCTTCACAATAACAGTGTTTCAAAACTGTTGAATCAAAAGAAAGGATTAACTCTGTGAGATGAAAGCACACATCACACAGCAGTTTCTCTGAAAGATTCTTCCTAGTTTTTATATGAAGATATTTAGTTTTGCACCAAAAGACTAAATGTGCTCCAAAATATCCCTTTGTAGATGCTACAAAAGCTGTGTTTCCAAAGTGCTGAATGAAAAGAAAGGTTTAACTCTGTGAGATGAATGCTCACATCACATAACGGTTTCTCTCATAGCTTCCTTGAACTTTTTATCCTGGGATATTCACTTTTTCTCCTTGGCCTCAATCCTCTCCAAAATAGCCATTGGCAGAATGGAGAAAAACAGTGTTTCCAAACTGTTGAAATGAAAGAAATTTTTAACTCTGTGAGATGAAAGCACACAACACAAAGCAGTTTTTCAGAAAGCTTCTTTCTAGTTTTTATCTGAAGATATTTTCTTTTTCACCATAGACCTAAATGTGCTACCAAATATCCCTTTGCAGAATGGACAAAAACAATGTTTCAAAACTGCTGAATCAAAAGAAATGTTTAACTCTGTGAAATGAATGCACACATCACAAAGCAGTTTCTCAGAAAGCTTCTTTCCAGTTTTTATGTGAAGATATTTACTTTTTCACCATAGGATTCAATGGTCTCCCAAATATCGCTTTGCAGATTTTACAAAAAGAGTTTTCCAAACTGCTGAATGAAAAGAAAGGTTTAAATGTGTGAGATAAATGCACACATCACAAATCAGTTTCTCAGATTACTTCCATATAGTTTTTATCCTGGGATATTTGCTTTTCCTCCATTGATCTCAAAGAGCTCCCAAATGTTCATTCACAGAATGGACAAAGCAGTGTTTGCAAACTGTTGAAACAAAAGAATGTTTGTTTTAACTCTGTGTGATGAAAGCAGACATCACAAAGCAGTTTCTCAGAAAGCTTCTTTCTCGTTTTTATATGAAGATATTTACTTTTTCACCAAAGGACACGATGGGCTACCAAATATCCCTTTGCAGATACTACACAAACTGGGTTTCCAAACTCCTGAATGAAAAGAAAGGTTTAACTCAGCTTTTTTTTTTTGTGCACCTCACAAATCCGTTTCTCAGATGGCTTCCTTTTATTTTTATCCTTGGGTATTCTCTTTTCCTTCTTTGGCCTCAATGAGCTCCCAAATGTCCTGTCACAGAATGGACAAAAACAGTGTTTCCAAACTGTTGAAAAAGCAGAAAATTTTAATTCTGTGAGATGAAAGTAGACATCACAAAGCAGTTTCACAGAAACCTTCTGTCTAGTTATTATTTGAAGATATTTCCTTTTTCATCATAGGCCTCATTGGGCTCCAAATTATCCCTTTGCAGATTCTACAAAAACAGTGTTTCCAAACTGCTGAAAGAAAACAAACGTTTAACTCTGTGAGAGGAATGTGCACATCACAGAGCTGTTTCTCAGAAGCATCTTTCTAGTTTTATCTGAAGATATTTTCTTTTTCACCTTAAGCCTCAAGGCACTCTTAAATATCCCTTCACAGAATGGACAAAAACAGTGTTTCCAACGTGTTGAATCAAAAGAAAGGATTAACTCTGTGAGATGAAGCCACACATCACAAAGCAGTTTCTCTTAAAGCTTCTTTCTTGTTTCTATCTGAAGATATTTTCTTTTTCATATTAGGCCTCAATTCTCCCCCAATTATCCCTTTGCAGAGTGGACAAAAACAGTGTTTCTAAACTGTTGAATCAAAAGAAAGGATTAACTCTGTGAGATGAATACACACATCACAAAGCAGTGTCTCAGAAAGCTTCTTTCTAGTTTTTATATGAAGATATTTACTTTTTCAACATAGGACTCTTTGGGCTCTGAAATATCCCTTTGCAGATTCAACAAAAACAGTGTTTCCAAACTGCTGAATGAAAAGAAAGGTTTAACTCTGTGAGACGAATGCAAACATCACATGGCAGTTTCTCACACAGCTTCCTTCAATTTTTTATCCTGAGACATTTGCTTTTTCTCCTTTGGCCTCAATGATCTCCTAAATGGCCATTGGCAGAGTGAACAAAAACTGTGTTTCCAAACTATTG
Source organism: Homo sapiens (assembly GCF_000001405.40). Lineage (NCBI taxonomy): Eukaryota > Metazoa > Chordata > Mammalia > Primates > Hominidae > Homo > Homo sapiens. The sequence continues at coordinate 61,314,703 of NC_000006.12, read as the reverse complement.
AAACCAAAGGAAATTTTAACTCTGTGAGATGAAAGCAAACATCACAAAGCAGTTTTGCAGAAAGTTTCTGTCTAGTTATTGTTTGAAGATATTTCCTTTTTTACCATAAGCCTCAAAGCTCTCTGAAATATCCCTGCACAGATTCTACAAAATCGTGTTTCCAAGCTGCTGGATGTAAGGAATGGTTTAACTCTGTGAGACGAATGCACACATCACAAAGCAGTTTCTCAGAAACCTTCTTTCTAGTTTTTATAAGAAGATATTTACTTTATCACCATAGGCCTCAAGGGGATCCCAAATATCCCTTCACAGGTTCTACAAAAACAGTGTTTCCAAACTGCTGAATGTAATGAAAGGTTTACCTCTGTGAGATGAATGCATACATCACAAAGTAGTTTCTCAGATAGTTTCCTTGAAGTTTTTAACCTGGGATATTTGCTTTTCTCCATTGGTGTCAATGAACTCCCAAATGTCCATATGCAGAATGGACAAAAACACTGTTTCCAAACTGTTGAATGAAAAGAAATGTTTAACACTGTGAGATGAATGCACACATCAAAAAACAGTTTCTCAGAAAGTTTCTGTCATGTTTTTATTTGAAGATATTTTCTTTTTCACCATAGGCCTAAATGTGTTCTGAAATATCCCTTCAGAGATTCCACAAAAACAGTGTTTCCAAACTGCTGAATGAAAAGAAAGGTTTAACTCTGTGAGACGCATGCACACATCACAAAGCAGTTTCTCAGAAAGCTTCTTTCTAGTTTTTATAAGAACATATTTATTTTTTCACCATAGGCCTCAATGGGGTCCCAAATATCCCTTTGGAGGTTCTACAAAAACAGTGTTTCTAAACTGCTGAATGAAAAGAAAGGTTTAACTCTGAAAGATTAATGCACATATCACAAAGCAGTTTCTCAGCTTCCTTCTACTGTTTATCCTGGAATATTTGCTTTTTCTCCATTGGTGTCAGTGGGGTCCAAAATGTCCATTCACAGAATGGACAAAAACAGTCTTTTCAAACTGTTGAATCAAAAGAAAGGCTTAACTCTCTGAGATGAATTCACACATCACAAAGCAGTTTCTCAGAAAGCTTCATTCTAGTTTTTATCTGAAGATATTTTCTTTTTCACTGTAGGCCTCTAGGCACTCTGAAATATCCCTTAACAGATTCTACAAAAACAGCGTTTCCAAACTGCTGAATGAAAAGAATCATTTTACTCTTCGAGATGAATGCACACATCACAAAGTTGTTTCTCAGATGGTCTCATTTTTATCCTGAGATATTCACTTTTACACCTTTGGCCTCAATGAGCTCCATAATGTCCTTTCACAGAAATGACAAAGCCAGTGTTTTCCAACTGCTGAATGAATAGAAAGGTTTAACTCTGTGAGATGAACGTACACATCACAAAACAGTTTCTCAGAAAGCCTCTTTCTTCTTTTTATCTGAAGATAATTTCTTTTTCACCATAGACTTCGATGAGCTTTCAAATATCCGTTCACAGTTTCTACAAAAACAGTTTTTCCAAACTGCTGAATGAAAAGAAAGATTTAACTCTGTGAGATGAATGCACACATCACAAAGATGTTTCTCTGATAGCTTCCTTCTAGTTTTTATCCTGGGATATTCTTCTTTTTGCCACTGGCCTCAATGAGCTCCCAAATTTCCATTCACAGAATGGACAAAAACAGGTTTCCAAACTGCTGAATCAGAAGAAAGGTTTAACTCTGGGAGATGAATTCACTTCTCACAAAGCAGTTTCTCTGAAAGCTTCTTTCTACTTTTTATCTGAGGATATTTTCTTTTTCACCATAGGCCTCAATACGCTCCCTAATATCCCTTCGCAGATTCTACAAAAACGGTGTTTCCAAAATGCTGAATGAGAAGATAGGTTTAACTGTGTGAGATGAATGTCCCCATAACAAAGCCGTTTCTCAGATAGTTTCCTTCTGGTTTTATCCAGGGAAATTTGCTTTTTCACCATTGGCCTCAATGGGTGCCAAAATGTCCATTTGTAGAATAGACAAAAACAGTGTTTTCAAACTGCTGTATCCAAAGAAAGGTTTAACTCTGTGAGATAAATGTACACATCAGAAAACAGTTTCTCAGAAAGCTTCTTTGTACTTTTTATCTTAAAGTATTTTCTTTTTCACCATATGCCTCAAAGCACTCCAAATTATCCCTTAGCAGATCCTACAAAAACATTGTTTCCTATCTGCTGAATGAAAAGAAAGTTTTAACACTGGGAGATGAATGCAAATGTCACAAAGGGGTTTTCTCAGATTGCTTCCTTCCGGTTTTTATCCTTGGATATTTGCTTTCTCTCTATCAGCCTAAAGGAGCTCCCAAATATCCATTCACAGAGTGACAAAAATACTGTTTCCGATCTACTGGATAAAAAAAATGTTTAGCTATGTGGGATGAATGCACACATCAGAAATTAGTTTCTCAGAAAGCTTCTTTCTACCTCTTATCTGAAGATATTTTCTTTTTCACCAAGGGCTCGATGTGCTCCAAAATATCCCTTTGCAGATCCTACAAAAAAAGTGTTTCCAAACGGTTGAATGAAAGGAAATATTTATCTCTGTGAGATGAATGCAGACTTCACATTGTGGTTTCTCAAATGGCTTCCTTCTACTTCTTATCCTGGTATATTCCCTTTTTCACCATTGATCTCAATGAGCTCTCAAATGTCCATTTGCAGAATGGACAAAACACTGTTTCCAAACTCTTGAATCAAAAGAAACATTTAACTCTGTTAGATGAAAGCACACACCACAAAGCAGTTTCTCAGAAAGCTTCCGTCTAGTTTCTATTTGAAGATATTTTCTTTTTCACCATAGGCCTCAATGTGCTCCAAAATATCCCTTCACAGATTCTACAAAATCAGTGCTTCCAAACTGCTGGATCAAAAATAATGTTTAACTCTGTTAGATGAATACACCCATCACAGAGCAGTTTCTCAGAAAGCTTCTTCTACTCTTTACATTAAGATATTTTCTTTTTCACTGTAGTTCTCAAAGCACTCCAAAATATCCCTTTGCAGATTCTGGAAAAACAATGTTTCCAAGCTGCTGAATAAAAAGAAAGGTTTAACTCTGTGAGAGGAATGCAAACATCACAAAGCTGTTTCTCTGATATCTTCCTTGTAGTTTTTATCCTGGGGTATTCCCTTTTTCTGCCTTGGCCTCAATAAGCTCCCAAATATCCATTCACAGAATGAACAAAAACAGTGTTTCCAAACTATTGAATCAAAAGAAAGGTTTAACTCCATGAGATGAAAGCACCTATCACAAAGCAGTTTGTCAGAAAGCTTCCTTCAGTTTTTATCTGAAGATATTTTCTTTTTCACCATAGCTTTCAATGTGCTCCCAAATATCCCTTCACAGATTCTACAAAATCAGTTTTCTAAACTGCTGAATGTAAGGAAAGTTTTAACTCTGCGAGATAAATGCACACATCACAAAGTAGTTTCTGAGATAGCTTCCTTGAAGTTTTTATCCTGGGCTATTCCATTTATCTCCATTGGCCTCAATGAGCTCCCAAATGCCCATTCACAGAATGGACAAAAACACTGTTTCCAAACTGGTGAATGAAAAGAAACGTTTAACACTGGGAGATGAATGCTCACATCACAAAACAATTACTCAGTATGCTTCTGTCTAGTTTCTATTGGAAGATATTTTCTATTTCACCATAGGCCTCAATGTGCTCCTAAATATCCCTTTGCAGATGCTACAACAACAGTGTTTCCAAACCGCTGGATCAAAAGGAAAGTTTACCTCTGTGAGATAAATGCACACATCACAAAGCAGTTTCTCAGAAAGCTTCTTTCTACTTTTTATCTTAAGATATTTTCGTTTTCACCATAGTTCTCAAAGTGCTCCCAAATATCCCTTTGCAGATTCTACCAGTGTTTCCAATCTGTTGAACCAAAAGAAAGGTTTAACTCTGTGAGATGAGTGCACATATCACAAAGCAGTTTCTCAGAAAGCTTCTTTCTTGTTTTTATCTGAAGATATTTTCTTTTTCATGATAGGCCTCAACATTCTCCAAATTATGCCTTCACAGATTCTAAAAAAACAGTGTTTCCAAACTGTTGAATGAAAAGAAAGGTTTAACTCGTGAGATGAAAACATGCATCACAAAGCGGTTTCTCAGATAGCTTCCTTCAAGTGTTTATCCTGGGATATTCAACTTTTTGCCATTGGCCTCAATGATCTCCCAAATGTCCATTTGCAGAATGGACAAAAACAGTTTTTCCAAAGTGCTGAATGAAAAGAAAGATTTAACTCTGTGATATGAAAACACACATCACAAACCAGTTTCTCAGAAAGCTTCTTTCTAGTTTTTATCAGAAGATATTTTCTTTTTCACCATAGGCCTAAATGCACTCCGAAATATCCCCTCGAAGAATCTACAAAAACAGTGTTTCCAAACTGCTGATTGAAAAGAAAGGTTTACCTCTGTGAGATGAATGCACACATCACACAGTGGTTTCTCGGATAACTTCCTTCTAGTTTTCACCCTGGGATATTCGCTTTTTGCCATTTGTCTCAATCAGCTACAAAATGTCCATTCACATAATGGACAAAAACAGTGTTTCCAAACTGCTGAATCAAAAGAAAGGTTTCACTTCAAGAGGTGAATGCAGACATCACAAAGCAGTTTCTCAGAAATCTTCTTTCTACTTTTTATCTGAAGATATTTTCCATTTCACCATAGGCCTCAATGCACTTCCAAGTATCCCTTTGCAGATTCAACAAAAACAGTGTTTCCAAACTAATTAATGAAAATAATTGTTTCACTCAGTGAGATAAATGCACATATCACAAAGCAGTTTCTCAGATAGCTTCCTCCTAGTGTTTATCCTCGGATATTCACTTTTTCTCCTTTGCCCTCAGTGAGGTCCCAAATGTCCATTTGCAGAATGGACAAAAACAGTGTTTCCAAACTGTTTAATCAAAAGAAAGGTTTAACTCTGTGAGATGAATGCACACATCACAAGCATTTTCTCAGAAAATTTCTTTCTAGTTTTTATGTGAAAATATTTTCTTTTTCACCATAGACCTCCAGGCATTCCAAAATACCCCTTAATGGATTCTACAAAAACAGTGTTTCCAAAATGCTGAGTGAGAAGAAAGGATTAATTCTGTGAGAAGAATGCACGCTTCTCAAAGCAGTTTCTCAGATAGCTTCCTTCTAGTGTTTATCCTGGGATATTTGGTTTTTAGCCATTGGCGTCAATGAGCTCCCAAATGTCCATTCACAGAATGGATAAAAACAGTGTTTACAAACTGCTGAATCAAAAGAAAGGTTTAAGTCTGTGCCATGGAAGCACACATCACAAAGCACTTTCTGAGAAAGTTTTTTTCCAGTTTTTTTCTGAAGATACTTTCTTTTTCACCATAGGCATCAACATGCTCCAAAATATCCCTTTGCAGATTATACAAAAACAGTGTTTCCAAACTGCTGAATTAAAAGGAAGGTTTAACTCTATGAGATGAATGCACACATCACAAAGGAGTTTCTCAGACAGCTTCCTTCTAGTGTTTATCTTGGGATATTCGATTTTTCCCCATTGGCCTCAATGAACCCCAAAAGTCCATTTGCAGAATGGAGAAAAACAGTGTTTTCAAATTGATAAATCAAAAGAAAGGTTTTACTCTGTGAGATGAAAGCACACATCACAAATCAGTTTCTCAGAAAGCTACTTTCTAGTTTTTATCTGACGATATTTTCTTTTTCACAATAGGCCTCAATGCTCTCTGAAATATCCCTTCACAGATCTACAAAAACAGTGTTTCCAAACTGCTGATTGAAAAGAAAGATTTAACTCTGTGAGTTGAATGCACACATCACAAAGCTGTTTTTCAGATACCTTCCTTCTAGTTTTTATCCTGGGACATTCACCTTTTCACCATTGGCCTCAATGAGCTCCTAAATTTACATTTGCAGAATGGAAAAACACAGTTTCCAAACTGCTGAATGAAAAGGAAGGTTTATCTCTGTGAGATGAATGCACACATCACAAAGCAGGTTATCATACAGATTCTTTCTAATTTTTAGTTGAAGATGTTTTATCTTTCAGCATAGGCCTCAATGAGCAGCAAAATATCCCTTCAAAGATTCTACAAAAACTGTTTCCAAACTGCTGAAACAAAAGAAAGGTTTAAGTCTGAGAGATGAATGCACACATCACAAAGCAGTTTCTCAGAACCTTTTTTTTTTACTTTTTATCTGAAGATATTTTCTTGTTCACCATAGATCTCAACACGTTTCCGAATATCCCTTCACAGATTCTATAAAAAAGTATTTCCAAACTGCTGAAAGAAAGGTAACTACCTCCATGAGGTGAATGCACATATCACTTAGCAGTTTCTCAGATAGCTTCCTCCTACAACTTTATCTTGGGATATTTGGTTTTTCACCACTGATCTCAATCAGCTCCCAATTGTCCATTCACAGAAAGGAGAAAAACAGTCTTTCCAAACTGCTGAATCAAAAGAAATACTAAACTCTGTAAGAAGAATGCACTCATCACAAAGAAGTTTTTCCAGGAATCTTCTTTCTACTTTTTGTCTGAAGATACTTTCTATTTCATCATAGGCCTCAATGTGATCCCAAATATCCCTTCAAAGATTCCACAAAAACAGTGTTTCCAAAATACAGAATGAAAAGAAAGGTTTAACTCAGTGAGATGAATGTCCACATTCCAAAGCAGCTTTTCTGGTAGATTCCCTCTAGTTTTTATCCTGGGATATTCATTCTTTTGCCGTTGGCCTCAATGAGCTCCCAAATGTCCATTCACAGAATGCACAAAAACAGTATTTCCAAACTGCTGAATCAAAAGAAGGTCTTAACTCTGTGAGATGAATGCACACATTACAAAACAGTTTCTCAGAAGTCTTCCTTCTACTTTTTGTCTGAAAACTATTGCATTTTCACCATAGGCATCAAAGTGCTCCGAAATATCCCTTGGTAGTTTCTGCAAAAGCACTTCTGCTTTGTGATGCATGCATGCATCTCATATAGTTAAAACTTTCTTTTGATTCAGCTGTTTGGAAACAAGGTGTTTGTCCATTATGTGAATGGACATTTGGGAGCTCATTGGTTAAAGTGAATAACCCAGGACAAAAAGTAGAAGGGAGGTACCTGAGAAACCGCATTGTGATGTGTGCATTCATCTCACTGAGTTAAACTTTTCTTTTCATTCAACAGGTTGGAAACACTGTTTTTGTAGAATCCGTGAAGGGATATGTGGGAGTGCATTGAGGCCTATGGTGAAAAAGTAAATACCTTCATATAAAAACTAGGAAGAAGCTTTCTGAGAAACTGCTTTGAGATGTGTTCATTCATTTCACACAGTTGAACCTTTCTTTTAATTCAGCAGCTTGGAAACACTATGCTCGTTCATTCACAGAATGGTGCTTATTGAGGTCAATGGCCCAAAAGAAAATATCCTGGAATTAAAACTAGAATGATGCTATCTGAGAAACTGCTTTCTGATATGTGCATTCATCTTGCAGAGTTAAATCATTCTTTTCAATCAAGAGTTTGGAAACACTGTCTTTGTAGGAACTGCAAAGGGATATTTGGGAGTGCATTAAGGCCTAAAGTGAAAAAGAAAATATTTACAGATAAAAAATAGAAAGAAGCTTTCTGAGAAACTGCTTTGTGATGTCTGCGTTCACCTCGCAGAGTTAACGCATTCATTCAGCAGTTTGGAAACACTGTTTTTGTAGAAGCTGTGAAGGGATATTTTAAAGCACAATGAGGCCTATGGTGAAAAAGAATGTATCTTCAGAAAAAATGAAGATAGAAATTTCTGAGAAACTGCTTTGTGATGTGTGCATTCATCTTCCAGAGTTAAATCTTTTTTAGATTTAGCAGTTTGGGAACACTGGTTTTGTACATTCTGCAAATGGACATTTTGTAGTTCATTGAACCTAATGATGAGAAAGCAAATATTTCAGGATAAAACCTAGAAGGAAGCTATCTGAGAAACCACTTTCAGATGTGTACATTAATCTCACAGTGTTTAACCTCTCTTTTGAATCAGCAGGTTGGAAACACTGTTTTTATAGAATCTGCAAAAGGATACTTTGGAGTGGATCGAGGCCTATGGTGAAAAAGAATTTATCTTAAGATAAAAAGTAGAAGGAAAGTTTCTGTGAAACTGTGTTGTGATGTGAGCATTCATCTCACAGAGTTCCACCTTTCTTTTGGTTCAGCAAATTTGAAACACTCTTTTTGTCAATTCTGCAAATGGACATTTGGGATCTCATTGAGCCCAATGGAGGAAAAGCATATATCCCAGGATAAAAACCAGAAGGAAGTTATCTGAGAAACTGCTTTAGGATGTGTGCATTCATCTCACAGATTTAAATCTTTCCTTTGATTCAGCAGTTTGGCAACAATGTTTTTGTCCATTCTGCGAATGGACATTTTGTAGCTCGAGGTCAATGGCAAAAAAGTGAATATACCAGGATGAAAACTAAAAGAAATCTGTGTGAGAAACTGCTTGGTCATGTGAACTTTAATCTCACAGAGTTAAATCTTTCTTTTCATTCAACAGTTTGGAAAAACTTTTTTATTATTATTATTATACTTTAAGTTTTAGGGTACATGTGCACATTGTGCAGATTAGTTACATATGTATACATGTGCCATACTGGTGCGCTGCATCCATTAACTCGTCATCTAGCATTAGGTATATCTCCCAATGCTATCCCTCTCCCCTCCCCCCACCCCACAACAGTTCCCAGAGTGTGATGTTCCCCTTCCTGTGTCCATGTGATCTCATTGTTCAATTCCCACCTATGAGTGAGAATATGCGGTGTTTGGTTTTTTGTTCTTGCGATAGTTTACTGAGAATGATGATTTCCAATTTCATCCATGTCCCTACAAAGGACATGAACTCATCATTTTCCATGGCTGCATAGTATTCCATTGTGTATATGTGCCACATTTTCTTTGACAAACCTGAGAAAAACAAGCAATGGGGAAAGGATTCCCCATTGTGGAAGTCAGTGTGGCGGTTCCTCAGGGATCTAGAACTAGAAATACCATTTGACCCAGCCATCCCACTACTGGGTTTATACCCAAAGGACCATAAATCATGCTGCTATAAAGACACATGCACACGTATGTTTATTGCGGCACTATTCACGATAGCAAAAACTTGGAATCAACCCAAATGTCCAACAATGATAGACTGGATTAAGAAAATTTAGAAAAACTTTTTGTAGTATCTGTGATGGGAAATTTGAAAGCTCATATAGGCCTATGGTGAAAAAGAAAATATCTTCAGGTAAAATCTAGAAAGAAGCTATCTGAGAAACAGCTTTGTGAGGTGTGCATTCATCTCACAGAGACAAAACTTTCATTTGATTTAGCACTGTTTAAACACTATTTTTGTCCATTCTGCAAATGGACATTTGGGAGCTCACTGGGGGCCTATGGCCAAAAAGTGAGTATCACTGGATAAATACTAGAAGGAAGGTACTTGAGAAACTGCTTTGTGATGTGTGCATTCATCTGACAGAGTTAAACTTTTCTTTTCTTTCAGCAATTTGGAAACACTGTTTTTGTAGAATCTGCAAACAGATATTTGGAAGCGCATTGATTCCTATGCTGAAAAAGAAAATACCTTCATATAAAAGTAGAAAGAAGCTTTCTGAGAAGCTGCTTTGTGATGGGTGCATTCATCTCACAGACTTAACCTTGCTTGTCAGGTAGCAGTTTGGAAACACTGTTTTTGTACATTGTGTGTATGGACGTTTGAAAGTTCATTGAGCCTAATGATGGAAAAGCAAATATCCCAGGATAAAAACAATAAGGACGCTAACTGAGAAACCACTTTGTGATGTGTGCATTCATCTCACAGAGTTAAACTTTTATTTTCATTCAGCATTTTGGAAACACTATTTTGTACAATCTGTGAAGAGATATTTTGGAGAACATCGAGGACTATGGCGAAAAAGAAAATGTCTTATGAGGAAAAGTAGAATGAAACTTTCTGAAAAACTTCTTTGTGATGTGTGCATTCACCTCATCAAGTTAAACAATTCTTTTCATTCAGCAGTCTGGAAACACTGCTCATGTCAATTCTATGAATGGACATTTGGGAGCTCATTGAAGACAATGGCAAAAAAGAGAGTATCCAAGGACAAAAACTAGAAGGAAGATATCTGAGAAACAGCTTTGTGATGTGTTAATTCATCTCACAGTGTTAAAACTTCCTTTTCATTCAGCAGTTTGAAAACACTCTTTCTTCAAAATCTGTCAAGGAATATTTGGGAACCTGTTGAGGCCTAAGGTGAAAAAGAAAATATCTTCAGTAAAAACTAGAAAGAAGCTTTCTGAGAAACTGCTTTATGATGTGTGCATTCATTTCACAGAGTAAAACTTTTCTTTTTATTCAGCAGTTTGGATACACTGTTTTTGCAGAATCTGCAAAGAGATATTTGGCAGCTCATTGAGGCCTAGGTTGAAAAAGAAAATATGTACAGATAAAAATCAGAAAGAAGCATCTTGAGAAACTCCTTTGTGAGGGGGGCATTCACCTCACAAAGTTAAAACTTTCTTATGATTCAGTAGTTTGGAAACACTGTTTTTGTCATTTCTGTAAATGAACATTTTGGACCTCATTGATGACAGTGGTGACAAAGCAAATATCCCAAGATACAAACTAGAAGGAAGCTATCTGTGAAAGGGCTTTGTGAGGTGTTCATTCATCTCACAGACTTAAAACTTTCCTTTAACTCAGTAGTTTGGAAACACTATTTTTGTAGAATCTGTGAAGGAATATTTGGGAGCACATCGTGGCCCATTGTGAAAAACAGAAATATCTTCAGATAAAGAGTAGGAAGAAGCTTTCTGGGAAACTGCTTTGTCACGTGTGCATCCATCTCACACAGTTAAAACTTTCTTTTGGTTCAGCAGTTTGGAAACACTGTTTTTGTGCTTTCTGTGAATGGACATTTGGGAGATCATTAAGGCCAACATTGAAAAGGAGTATATCACAGGATAAAAACTAGAAGGAAGCAATCTGAAAAACCGCTTTGTGATGTGTGCATTCATCTCACAGACTTCAACCTTTCTTTTCATTCAGCAGTTTGGAAACACTGTTTTTGTAGAATCTGAGAAGGGATACTTGGGAGCACATTGAGGCCTATGGCAAAAAAGAAAATATCTAAAGCTAAAAAGTACAAAGAGTCTTTCTGAGAAATGGCTTTGTGATGTGTGCATTCATCTCATAGAGTTAAAACTTTCTTATGATTCAGCAGTTTGGAAACACTGTTTTTGTCCCTTCTGTGACATTTGGGAGCTCAGTGAGGATAATGGCAAAAAAGTGAATACCCCAGGGTAAAACTAGAAGGAGGCTCTCTGAAAAACTTCTTTTTGATGTGTTCATTCATCCCCCAGAGGTAAAATTTCTTTTCATTTAGCAGTTTGGAAACACTGTTTTTGTAGAATCTGTGATAGGATAACTGGTAATGCGTTGAGGACTATGTTGAAAAAGAAAATATCTTCAGATAAAAACCAGAAAGAAGCTTTCTAAGAAACTTGCTTTATGATATGTGCATTCATCTCACAGAGTTAAACTTTTTTGGATTCAGCAGTTTGGAAACATGTCTTTTTCATTCTTCAAATGGACATTTGGGAGCTCATTGAAACCAATGGCAAAAAAGGGAATATCCCAGGATAAAAACTAGAAGGAAGCTATCTGAGAAACCACTTTGTGATGTATTCATTCAACTTGCAGATTTAAACCTTTCTTTTCATTCAAGAGTTTTGAAACACTGTTTTTGCAGAAACTGCGAAGGGATATTTGGGAGGGCATTGAGAACTACAGTGCATACGAAAATACCTTCAGATAAAAACTAGAAAGAAGCTTTCTGAGAAACTGCTTGATGATGTGTGTATTCACCTCACAGTGCTAAAGGTTTCTTTTGATTAAGCAGTTTGAAAACACTGTTTTTGTCCATTCACAGAATGGACATTTGGGAGTTCATACGTCCAATAGCAAAAAAGTAAATATCACAGGATAAAATCTGGAAGTAAACTATCTGAGAAACTTCTTTGTGATGTGTGCCTTCATCTAACAGAGTTAAAACTTTCATTTCATTCAGCAGTTTGGAAACACTGTTTTTGTAGTATATGCAAAGGGATATTTGGGAGCACAATGAGGTCTATGCTGAAAAAGAAAATATCTTCAGATAAAAAGTAGAAAGAAGCTTTTGGAGGAAATGCTTTTTGTTGTGTGCATTCATCTTGCAGAGTAAAACTTTTCTTTTCATTCAGCAGTTTGGAAACACTGTTTCTGTCAAATCTGCCAAGGGATATTTGGGAGCACATTGAGGCCTATGGTGAAAAAGAAAATATCTTCAGCTAAAAACTGGAAAGATGCTATATGAGAAACTGCTTTGTGATGTGTGCATTAATCTCCAGAATTAAACCTCTCTTTTGATCCAGCATTGTGGAAACACTGTTTTTGTCCATTCTGCAAATGGACATTTGGGAGCTCATAGAGACCAATGGTGAAAAAGGGAACACCTGAGGATGAAAATTAGAAGGAATCTGTCTGAGAAACTGCTATGTGATGTGTGCATTCATCTCGCAGAGTTGAACCTTTCTTTTTATTCAGCAGTTTGGAAACACTGCTTTTGTAGAATCTTTGAAGGGATATTTGGGAACATGTTGAGGCCAGTGGTGAAAAAGAATATATCTTCAGATAAAAAGTAGAAAGAAGCTTTCTGAGGAACTGCTTTTTGGTGTATGCATTCATCTCACAGAGTTAAACCTTTATTTTGATTCAGCAATTTGGAAACACTGTTTTGTCCATTCTGCAAATGGACATTTGGGAGCTCTTTGAGGCCAATAACAAAAAACGTATGTCAAAGGACAAAAACTGGAAGAAAGTGATCCGAGAAACTGCTTGGTGAGGTTTGCATTCATCTCACCGAGTTAAAGCTCACTTTCATTCAGCAATTTGGAAACACTCTTTTTGTAGAATCTGTGAAGGGATATTTAGAAGTGCCTTGAAGGCTATGGTGAAAAAGAAAATATATTCAGATAAAAAGTAGAATGAGTCTTTCTGAGGAACTGCTTTTTGATGTGTACATTCATCTCACAGAGTTGAAGCTTTCTTTTGATTCAGCAGTTTGGAAACATAGTTTTTGTCCATTCTGAAAATGGACTTTTGGAAGCTCATAGAGGCCAATGGCGAAAAAGCAAATATCTCAAATTGAAGGAAGCTATCTGAGAAAATGTTTTGAGAGGTGTGCATTCATCTCACAGAGTTAAACCTTTCTTTCCATTCAGCAGCTTGGAAACGTTTTTACAGTATATGCAAAGAGAAATTTGGGAGGGCATTGAGAGCTATGGTGAAAAAGCAAATATCTTCAGATTGAGAGTAGAAAGCTTTCTGAGAAACTGCTTTGTGATGTGTGCATTCATCTCATAAAGATAAATCTTTCTTTTGATTCACCAGTTTGGAAACACTGTTTTTGTCAATTCTGAGAATGGACATTTGGGAGCTCTTTGAGGCCAATGGTGAAAAAGAGAATATCCTACAATAAAAACTAGAAGGAAGCAATCTGAGAATCCAGTTTGTGAAGTTTGCATTCATCTGGCACACTTAAATCTTTCTTCTAATTCAGCAGTTTTGAAGAATCTGTGAAAGAATATTGGAAGTGCATTGAGGCCTCTGGTGAAAAAGAAAATATCTTCAGTTAGAAAGTAGAAAGAAGCTTTCTGAGAAACTGCTTTGTTGATGTGTGCATTTGTCTCACAGAGTTAAACCTTTATTTTGATTGAGCCCTTTGGAAACACTGTTTTTGTCTTTTCTGTGAATGGACATTTGGGAACTGAATGAGGCCACTGGTGAAAAACTGAATACGCCAGGATAAAAACTAGAAGGAAGCTATATGAGAAACCACTTTGTGATGTGTGCATTCATCCCACAGAGTTAAACCTTCCTTTTCATTCAGCAGTTTGGAAACACTGTTTTTGTCCATTCTGGGAAAAGACAATTGGAAGCTAATTGAGGTCAATTGTGAAAAAGGAAATATCCCAGGATAAAAACTAGAAGAAAGCTCTCTGAGAAATCGCTTTGTGCTGTGGGTATTCATCTCACAGAGTTAAAGTTATCTTTTCCTTCAGCCATTTGGAAACACTGTTTTTTGTGAAATCTGCAAAGGAATATTTGGACCCACATTGAGGTCTATGGTGAAAAGGTAAATATCATCAGGTAAAAAATAGAAACTAGTTTTCTGAGAAACTCTCTTGAGATTTGTGCATTTGTCTCACAGAGTTAAATTTTTCTTTTCATTTAGCAGTTTGGAAACGCTGTTGTTGTTTTTTTTTTAATTTTTCTGCAAATGGACATTTGGTAGCTCATTGAGGCCAATGGCCAAAAAGTGAATATCCCAGGATAAAAACTAGAATTAAGCTATCTGAGAAACTGATTTGTGATGTGAGCATTCATCTCCCAGAGTTAAAACCTTCTTTTCATTCAGCGGTTTGTAAACACTGTTTTTGTAGAATCTGTGAAGGAATATTTTTGAACTCCTTGATACCTAGGGCGAAAAAGAAAATGTCTTCAGATAAAAAGTAGAAAGAAGCTTTCTGAGAAACTGCTCTGTGATGTGTGCATTCATCTCATAAAGTTTCTTTGGATTCAGCAGTTTGGAAACACCGTTTTTGTGCATTCTGTGAGTGGATATTTGAGAGCTCCTTGGGGACAAATGTGAAAAAGTGAATATCCCAGGATAAAACCTAGGAGGAAGCTATCTAAGAAACTGCATTGTGATGTGTGCACTCATCTCGCAGAGTTAAACTTTTCTTTTCTTTCAGCAGTTTGAAAATGCTGTTTTTGTAGAATCTGCGAAGGGATATTTGGGAGCAAATTGAGGCCTATGGTGAAAAAGAAAGTATCTTCAGTTAAAATGTGGAAAGAAGCTTTCTGAGAAACTGCTTTGTGATGTGTGCATTCATCTCCCAGAGTTAAATCTTTTTTAGATTCAGCAGTTTGGAAACAGTGTTATTGTCCTTTCTGTGAAAGGATATTTGGGAGCTCATTGAGGCCAATGGCAAAAAAGTGAATAAACCAGGATAAAAAACCGGAAGGAAGCTATCTGAGAAACTGCTTTGTGATGTTTGCATTCACCTCGCATCATTAAACCTTTCTTTTCATTCAGCAGTTTGGCAACACTGTTTTTATTAAATCTGGCAAGGGATATTTGGGAGCGCTTTGAGGAATACAGTGAAAATATCTTCAGAGGAACACTAGAGAGAAGCTTTCTGACAAATGGCTTTGTGATGTCTGAATTCATCTCACAGTGATAAACGTTTCTTTTCATTTAGCAGTTTGTAAACCTCTTTTTTTCCATTATGTGGATGGACATTTGGGAGTTCATTGAGGCCAGTAGTGAAAAATAAAATATCTCAAAATAAAAACTAGAAGGAAGCTATCTGAGAAACCACTATGTGATGTGTGCATTCATCTTGCAGAGATAAAACTTTCTTTTTATTCAGAAGTTTTGAAACACTGTTTTAACAGAGTTGAGCCTTTCTTTTGATTAAACTGTTTGGAAACACTGTTTTGTCCATTCTGTGAATGGACATTTGGGAGCTCATTTAGGCCAATGGCAAAAAAGTGAATATCCCATGCTAAAAACCTGAAGGAAGCTATCTGAGAAAGCACTTTCATGTTTGCATTCATGTCACAGAGTTAAGCCTTTTGTTTTATGCAGCTGTTTGGAAACACTCTTTCTGTAGAATCTGTGAAGGGATATTTGGTAGTCCATTGAGACCTACCTTGAAAAAGAAAATATCTTCAGACAAAAACTAGAAAGAATCCTTCTTAGAAACTTCTTTATGGTGTGTGCATTCATCTCACAGAGTTAAACATTTTTTTTGTTTCAGCAGTTTGGAAACCTGTTTTTGCCATTCTGCAAAAGGACATTTGGGATCTCATTGAGCCCAAGAGTGAAAAAGCATATATCCCAGGATAAAAACTAGAAAGAAGCTATCTGAGAAACTTCTTTGGGACGTTTGCATT
Source organism: Homo sapiens (assembly GCF_000001405.40). Lineage (NCBI taxonomy): Eukaryota > Metazoa > Chordata > Mammalia > Primates > Hominidae > Homo > Homo sapiens. The sequence continues at coordinate 61,298,633 of NC_000006.12, read as the reverse complement.
TATCTCACAGAGTTAAAGCTTTCTTTTCATTCAGCAGTTTGGAAATACTCTTTCTGTAGGATCTCCAAAGGGATACTTAGGAGCACTTTGTGGCCTATGTTGAAAAAGAAAATATCTTCAGATTAAAAAAAAAGAAAGAAGATTTGTGAGACACTGCTTTGTGATGTGTACATTCATCTCACAGAGTTAAACTTTTCTTTTGATTCAGCAGTTTGGAAACACTGTTTTTGTCCATCCTGCAAATGGACAATTGCCAGATCATTGAGGCCAATGGTAAAAAAGCACATATCTCATGATAAAACCTAGAAGTAAGCTATCTGAGAAACAGCTTTGTGATGTGTGCATTCATTTCACTGATTTATACCTTTCTTTTCATTCAGCAGTTTAGAAACACTGCTTCTGTAGAATCTGCAAAGGGATATTTGGGTGGACATTGAGGCCTATAGTGAAAAACAAAATATCTCCAGATAAAAAGTAGAAATAAGCTTTCTGAGAAGCTACTTTGTTATGTGTGCATTCTTCTCACAGAGTTAAATTTTTCTTTTGATTCACGATTTTGGAAGCACTGTTTTTGTCCATTCTGGGAATGGCCATTTAGGAGGTCATTGAGGTCAAAGGCGAAAAAGCCAATCTCCCAAGATAAAAACTAGAAGGAAGCTATCTGAGAAACTGCTCTGTGATATGTGCATTTATCTCACTGATTTAAACCCTTCTTTTTATTCAGCAGTTTGGAAACCCTGTTTTTGTAGAATTGGAGAAGGAATATTTGGGAGCACATTGAGGCCTACGGTGTAAAAGGAAATATCTCCAGATAAAAACTAGAAAGAATCTTTCTGATAAACTGCTCTCTGATGTGTGCATTCATCTCACAGAGTTAAACCTTTCTTTGGATACAGAAGTTTGGAAACACTGCTTTTGTCCTTTCTGCGAATGGACATTTGGGAGCTAATTGAGCCCAAAGGTGAAAAAGGGAATATCCCAGCATTAAAACTAGAGGAAGCTATCAGAGAAATCACTTTGTGATTTGGGCATTCATCTTCTAGAGTTAAACATTTCTTTTCATTTAATAGTTTGGAAACACTGTTTTTTAGAATATGTGAAGGAATATTTGGGAGTCCATTGAGGCCTATGGTGAAAAAGAAAATATCTTCAGATAAAAAGTAGAAAGAAGCTTTCTCAGAAACTGGTTTGTGATGTGTGTATTCATCTCACAGAATTAAACCTTTTTTTTCATTCAGCAGTTTTAAACACTGTTTTTGTAGATTCTCTGAAGGGATATTTGGGAGCCCTTTGAAGCCTACAGTGAAAAAGAAATATCTTCAGATAAAAACTAGAAAGAAGGTTTCTGAGAAACTGCTTTGTGATGTGTCCATCTCACAGAGTTATACCTTTCTTTTGAAACAGCAGTTTGGAAACACTGCTTTTGTCCTTTCTGGGAATGGACATTTGGGAGTTATTTGTGGCCAATGGTGAAAAAGGGAATATCCCAGGATAAAAACTAAAAGGAAGCTATCTGAGAAACTGCTTTGTGAGGTGTGCATTCATCTCACAGAGTTAACCTTTCTTTTCATTCAGCAGTTTGGAAACACTCTTTTGTAGAATGTGTGAAGGGATATTTGGGAGTGCCTTGAGGCCTGTTGTGAAAAGGAAATATCTTCAGATTAAAACTAGAAGGAAGATTTCTGAGAAACTTCTTTGTGATGTGTGCATGCATCTACAAGAGTTAAAACTTTTTTTGATTCAGCAGTCTGGAAACACTGCTTTTGTGCTTTCTGTGAATGGACATTTTGTACCTCATGGAGGCCAATGTCAAAAAAGTGAATATCCCTGGATTAAAACTAGTAGGAAGCTATCTGAAAAACTGCTTAATGATGTTTGCACTCATCTAGCAGAGGTAAAACTTTCTTTTCATTTTGCAGTTTGGAAAAAACTGCTTTTGTAGAATCCGTGAAGGGATATTTGGGAGTGCAATGAGGCCTACAGTGACGAAGAAAAGATCTTCAAATAAAAAAGAGATAGAAGCTTTCTGATAAACTGCTTTGTGATGTGTGCATTCATCTCACAGTGGTAAACTTTTCTACTGATTCAGCAGTCTGGAAACACTGTTTTTGTACTTTCTGCTAATGGAAATTTTGGAGCTCATTGAGGTCAATGGCAAAAACATGAATAACCTGGGATAAAAACTAGAAGGTAGCTATCTGAGAAATTGCTTTGTGAAGGGACAATTCATCTCTCAGATTTAAACCATTCTTTTCATTCAATGGTTTGGAAACACTGTTATTGTAGAATATGTGAAGGGATATTCAGGAGCTCAGAGAGGCCTATGGTGAAATAGAAAATATATTCAGATAAAAACTAGAAAAAAGCTTTCTGAGAAATTCCTTTGTGATATATGCATTCATCTCACAGAGGTAAAACTTTCTTTTGATTCAGCAGTTTGGAAACACTGTTTTTGTCCATTCTGTGAATGGACAATTGGGAGCTCATTGAGATCAATGGCTAAATACACATAACCCATGATGAAAACTAGAAGGAAGCAATCTGTGAAACCACTTTATGAAGTGTGCATTCATCTCATGGGGTTAAACTTTCTTTTCATTCAGCAGTTTGAAAAAACTGTTTTTGTTGAATCTGTGAAGGGATATTTGGAGTACATTGAAGCCTATTGTGAAAAAGAAAATTTCTTCAGATAAGAAGTAGATAGAAGTTTTCTGAGAAACTGCTTTTTTATGTATCCATTCCTCTCACAGAGTTAAGCTGTTCTGTTAATTCAGCAGTTCAGAAACACTGCTTTTATCCTTTTTGTGACTGGATATTTTGGAGCTCATTGAGGCCAATGGTGAAAAAGTGAATATCCCAGGATAAAAGCTAGAAGGACGTTATCTCTGAAACTGCTGAGTGAGGTGTGCATTCATCTCACAGAGTTAACCTTACTTTTCATTCAGCAGTTTGGAAACACGGTTTTTGTAGAATTTGCAATGGGATATTTGGATGCACATTGAGGTCTCTGGTGAAAAAGGAAATATATTCAGAAAAAAGTAGAAAGAAGCTTTCTGAGAAACTGCTTTGTGATGTAAGCATTCATCTCCCAGAGGTAAACCTGTCTTTTAATTCAGCAGTTTTGAAACACTGTTTTCATCCATTCTGCAAATGGACATCTGGGAACTCACTGAGGCCAATGGTGAAAACGTGAATTTCCCAGATAAAAACTAGAAGGAAGCTACCTGAGAAACCACTTTGTGATGTGTGCATTCATCTTGCAGTGTTAAACCTCCTTTTTCATTCAGCAGTTTGGAAACACTCTTTTTATAGAATCTGTGAAGGGATATTTGGGAGCACTTTGAGGCCTATGGTGAAAAAGAAATTATATTCAGATAAAAAGTAGAATGAAGCTTTCTGCCAAACTGCCTTATGATGTGTGCATTCATCTCACAGAGTCAAACCATTCTTTTTATTCAGCTGTTTGGAAACTCTGTTTTAATCTTTCCTGTGAAAGGAAGTTTGGGAGCTCATTGAGGCCAATGGCAAAAAAGAGAATATCCCAGGATAAAAACTAGAAGGAAGCTATCTGAGAAACAGTTTGTCATGTGTGCATTCACCTTACAGAGTTAAACCTTTCTTTTCATTCAACAGTCAGGAAACACTGTTTCTGTAAAATCCATGAAGGAATATTTGGAAGTGCATTGTGGCCTGTGGTTAAAAAGGAAATATCTTCAGATAAAAAGTAGAAAGAAGCTTTCTGAGAAACTTCTTTGTAATGTGTGCATTCATGTCACAGAGTTAAACATTTCTATTGATTCAGCAGTTTGGAAAATGTATTGTTCCATTCTGCAAATTCACATTTGTGAGCACATTTAGGCCAATGATGAAAAAGCGAATGTCCCAGGTTAAAAACTAGAAGGTAGCTATCTGAGAAACTGCTTTGTGATGTGCACATTCATCTCACAGAATTAAACCTTTCTTTCATTCAGCAGTTTGGAAACACTGTTTTTGTAGAATGTGCAAAGGGATAATTCAGAGCACACTGAGGCCTATGGTGAAAAAGCAATTATCTTCAGATAAAAACTAAAAAGAAACTTTCTCAGAAACTGCTCTGTGACGTTTGCATTCGTCTCACAGAGTTAGTCCTTTCTTTTGTTTCAGCAGTTTGGAACCACTGTCTTTGTCCATTTGGCAAATGGACATTTAGGAGCTCATTGAGGCCAAAGGTGAAAAAGTGAATTTCCCAGGATAAATATTAGAAGGAAGCTATCTGAGAAACTGCTTTGTGATGTGTGCATTCATCTCCTAGAGTTAAAACTTTCTTTTCCATCAGCAGTTTGGAAACACTCTTTTTGTAGAATCTGTGAAGGGATATTTTGGAGCACATTGAAACCTGTTGGGAGCAAGACCCCCAAAATCTGGCCATAAACTGGCCCCAAAACTGGCCCCAAACAATATCTCTGCAGCACTGTGACATATTCATGATGGCTGTAGCTCACACACTGGAAGGTTGTGGGTATACTGGAATGAGGGTAAGGAATTCCTGGCCTGCCCTGGGCAGAAAACCTCTTAAAGGCATTCTTAAGCCACAAACAATGTCATGAGCGATCTGTGCCTTTAGGACATGCTCCTGCTGCAGTTAACTAGCCCCACTTATTCCTTTAATTTGACCCATCCCTTCATTTCCCATGAGGGATACTTTTAGTTAATTTAATATCTATAGAAACAATGCAAATTACTGATTTGCTGTTAGTTAATAAGTGGGTAAATATCTGTATGGGGCTATCAGCTCTGAAGACTGTGAGACCCCTGATTTCCCGCTTCACACTTCTATATTTCTGTGTGTGTGTGTCTTTAATTCCTCTAGCACCACTGGGTTAGGGTCTCCCTGACTCAGCTGGTCTCAGCAAGTGGCACTCGTTCATGGGGCCTCGAATCCAGGTTGGTCGCCAGATCAACGGTTGAAGAATGTGGAACTAGCTGGAGGACACATGAGTACTCTTAAAGCAATCCCCGTGGTGAGTAAGAAGCGTATCTCAGAAGCATCAGGGTAACAATGGGACAAGTGTGGGGTCTGGTTCATTCTACCTTGGAACTTTTTCACACTGATGATGAGGAGGAAGGAGAGTACAATGAAGTAACAGAAGAGGTTAAAGACCAGATTTATTTGCCAGCTAAAGCTAAAGTGGCAAAGGAGGGAGAGGTTCATCCCTAACCTTTGGCACCCCCTCCATATTATTTTGAAGAAAAAGACCCTACAGAACTTTATTTCCCAGAGGACACTGGGTGAATATAGTTGCCCCAGAGACTGTTTGAGCAGTAGCTTGAGTGACTGCTCTTAGTTTTATTCCGGCAGGAATTCAGCCAGTTAGATGAGAGGGTGATTTAGAGGCTTGGCAGTTCCCTGTTAGAATACACACCCCAGATAAACAGGAAAATATTACAGCTATATTTGAGCCTTTTCCTTTTAAATTACTCAAAGAATTTAAATAAACTATAAATCAGTATGGATCAGGTTCTCCTTTTCTAATGGGACTGTTAAAGAATGTTGCTGTTTCCAGTCAGATGATTCCTACTGACCGGGACACTCTTACTTGAGCTTGTCTAACTCCTGCTCAGTTGCTACAATTTAAAACTTGGTGGCCAGATGAAGCTTCCATTCAGGCTGCTTGCAATGCCAAGGCCAAACCTCAAATTAATATAATTGCAGACCAGCTTTTGGGGACTGGCATCTGCATTGGTTTAGATGCACAAGTGGTCATGCAGGGTGATGCCATAGAACGGCTTAGTGGAGTCTGCATTAGAGCTTGGGAAAAAAATCACTTCGGGTGGAGAACAACACCTTTCCTTTAGTGCTATAAAACAGGGACCAAGAGAACCATACTTTGGTTTTATAGCTTGGTTACAGGAGTCTCTTAAAAAGATGATTGCAGATTTGGCTGCTCATGTTATAGTGTTGCAGTAATTAACTTTTGAGAATGCTAATCCCGATTGCCAGGCTGCTCTGTGACCTATCAGAGGGAAAGCACATTTAGTTGATTATGTCAAGGCCTGTGATGGTATCGGAGGTAATCTGCATAAAGCTACTTTGTTGGCACAGGCAGTGGCAGAACTGAGGGTCAATAAAGAAAATACTCCATTTCCTGGAGCTTGTTTTAACTGTGGGAAGCATGGTCATACTGAAAAAGAATGTAGAAAAAATCAGTGAGTCAGGCCACCAGATAGGGGAATAAAGAAACTTCTTGAGCCAGAAATATGTCCAAAATGTAAAAAAGGAAACATTAGGCTAATCAGTGTCATTCTAAGTTTGATAAAGATGGGAACCCAATTTTGGGAAATGCCATTAGGGGACCACCTTAGGCCCCATTCTAAACTGGGGCATTTCCAGCTCAGGCCATTCCCTCACCCTTGTACAATGTCTGTCTCCCACCACAGCCAGTAGTGCTGCAGTAGATTTATGCTGCATAAAAGTGGTGAGCCTTCTGCCTGGGGAACCCCTGCAAAAGGTTCCAACAGGAGTCTGTGGACCCTTGCCAGTGGGGACAATAGGATTACATCTAGGAAGGTCTAGTTTAAGTTTAAAAGGGGTACAAATACATACAGGAGTCATTGATTCAGATTACAATGGGGAAATTCAAATTCTTATATCTACTTCTGTTCCCTGGAAAGCAGAGCCAGGAGAGTGCATAGCACAGCTCCTGATAATGCTGTATGTGGGAATGGGAAAAAGTGAAATTAAATGAAAAGAAGGATTTGGAAGCACAAATAAACAAGGCAAAGCAGCTTATTGGGTAAATCAAATAACTGATAAACATCCTACCTGTGAAATAACTATTCAGGAAAGAAATTTAAAGATTTGGTAGATACAGGAGCAGACATTTCAATCATTTCTCTACAGCACTGGCTGTCCATGTGGCCAATTCAACCCTCTCAATTTAACATAGTTGAAGTTGGTAAAGCCCCTTAACTATATCAAAATAGTTATATTTTGCACTGTGAAGGGCCCGATGGACAACCTGGGACTATTCAACCAATTATAACTTTTGTACCTATAAATTTATGGGGAAGAGATTTATTACAACAATAGGGACCAAAAGTTCTAATTCCAGAACAAATATATAGCCTTCAAAGCCAACATATAATGCATGAAAAGAGGTATGTCCCTGGTATGGGACTAGAAAAAATCTGCAAAGTTAGAAAGAACAACTTCAAATGGAAATACAAAGTTCCCACCAAGGTTTAAGATAGCATTTTTTTATGGCAGCTATTGTTAAGCCTCCAGAACCTATACCTTTAAAATGGGTAACAGATAAGCCAATTTGGATAGAACAATGGCTACTAAGTAAAGAGAAACTGGACGCTTTAGAGAAATTAGTTACTGAACAATTAGAAAATGGGCACATAGCTCCAACATTTTCCCATTGGAATTCTCCAGTTTTCATAATTAAGAAAAATTCAGGTAAATGGAGAACGTTAACTGACTTAAGAGCCATCAATTTATGGGAGCATTACAGCCAGGATTGCCTTCTGCTGTAATTCCAAAACATTGGCCTTTAATTGTCATAGATTTAAAAGACTGTTTGTTTCTTTACTATCCCCTTAGCTGAGCAAGATTGTGAATGGTTTGCCTTTACAATTCCTGCAGTAAACAACCTGCAGCCTGCTAAGCATTATTATTGGAAAGTGTTGCCACAAGGCACGTTAAACAGTCCAACAATTTGCCAGAGGTATGTAGGACAATCTATTGACCCTATTAATAAAAATTTTCACAATGTTACATTATTCACTATATGGATGATGTACTTTGTGCTGCCCCCACTCAATAAATGTTTCTCCAATGTTATGATCACTTGCAAAATTTGATTTCTCACACCAGTTTAATTATAGCTCCTGACAAAATTCAGATTACTACTACCTACTCCTAATTGGTGACATCAGTAAATGACTCTACCATTGTGCCACAGAAAGTAAACATATGTAGGGATCAATTGAAAACATTAAAGACTTTCAAAAATTACTAGGGGACATTGATTGGATATGACACATACTAGGCATTCCTACCTATGCCATGAGTAATCTGTTTTCTATCCTTTGAGGAAATCCTAGTCTCACTAACCCTCAGCAATCAACAAAGGAGTCTGAGGTCGAGTTACAGCTGATTGAAAAGCAAGTCCATAAAGCTTAAATAAGTAGAATAGATCCAGAGAAGACTCTAGATTTGCTAATTTTTTCAACTCCACGTTCACCTACTGGTGTTATTGTCCAAGAGCAGGACTCAGTAGAGTGGCTTTTTCTTCCACATACTAATTCATGAACTCTAACTCTTTATTTAGATCAAATTGCTACTATGATAGGAATTGGGAGAACTCAGATTGTTAAATTACATGGATATGATCCTGGAAAAATTATTGTCCCTCTCAGGAAGACACAAATACATCAAGCTTTTATCAGTAGTCTTACTTGGCAAACCCATTTAGCTGACTTTGGGAGTATTCTCAATAACCATTTTCCTAAAACAAAGCTGTTTCAGGTTTTGAAATTAAGCAATAGGATTCTCCCTAAAATAACTAAATTTAAACCAATTGAGGTTGCTGAGAATGTTTTTACAAAGGGTCTAGTAATGGTAAAGCTTCTTATTCTGGCTCAAAAAGTGAAGTTTTCCAGATGCCTAAAAATGCAGAGCTGTTTGCTGTAATTGAGGTGACTGTTTTTGATATGCCTATTGATGTGATTTCTGTTTCTTCATACAAGGTTCATTCCACACAGTTAATTGAAAATGCTCAGTTAGGATTTCATACAGATGAACAACTGATGACTTTATTTACCAAAATACAAATAGCATTTAGAAGTAGAATGCACCCTTTGTACATCACTCATATTAGGGTTCATACACCTCTTCCAGGACTTTTGACTGAAGGGAATCAAATGGCTGATCATCTAGTCACTAATGCAATATCTAACAGTGGACACTTTCACAATTTAACTCATGTTAATGCCTCTGGCTTCAAATGCAGATACAGCATTACCTGGAAAGAAGCTAAAGCTATTATCCAGTGACGCCCAACTTGCCAAATGGTACATTCCTCATCTTTCATAGGAGGAGTTAATCCTCGAGGATTGGAACCTAACTCTCTTAGGCAAATGGATATCACACATGTTCCCTCGTTTGGGAGACTATCTTAGGTACATGTATGTGTGGACACCTTTTCTCACTTTGGGCTACTTGCCAATCAGGAGAGTCTTCTACCCGTGTTAAATGTCACCCTTTGTAGTGTTTTGTGGTGATGGGCATTCCCGCTACTATTAAAACAGATAATGCCCCAGGCTATACTAGCCAAGCTCTAGCTACATTTTTCTCTATGTGGAATATTAAACATGTTACTGGTATCCCATACAGTTCTCAAGGACAAGCCACAGTGGAAAGAATGAATCTCTCTCGAAAACAGCAGTTGCAAAACCAGAAAGGGGGTGAAAGAGAATATGGAACCCTGCAGATGCCACTGAATCCAGCATTATTAACTTTAATTTTTTGAGCCTGCCCAAAGGCCAGATGCTATCAGCAGCTGAACAACATCTACAGAAACCAGCTACAAAGACAGAAGCAGAACAACTGATTTGGTGGAGAGATCCGATTATGAAAAGTTGGGAAACAGGTAAAATAATAACTTGGGGTAGAAGTTATGCTTGTGTTTCTCCAGGCCAAAATCAACAGACAATCTGGATACCATCAAGACACCTGAAACTTTATTGTGAGCCAGATGCTGAGAAAGAGACCCCAGGAGGATCCTGAGGACACCCCAGTTGCAGCCATGTTGAGACTGATGCTGAGGGGGACACCAACTGTCATGAGCAACACCCATCAAACACAGCCACCCTCCTGGGGACAGATTAAGAAGCTGTCACAGATGGCAGAAGAAAACTTGAGGAAAGTGGGACAACCAGTCACAATGAATAATTTAATGGTAGCTATGATAGCAGTTATCACCACTGCCATGAGTATTCCTTCAATAAGGGCTGACAAAGAGAACAATTATACTTACTGGTAATATTTATCAATCTCGGCTGGCAATAATGCCTGGATGCAATCATTCTATGACACAGTTACACATGCTTTCTGATCTTGGTATTTACCATAATAAATTGGCTCCTATATTGAGGCAACTGCCCTCAAAAACCTATTTGTAAACAGGATTGGACCCAGTTAGAGAAAATGAACATACTTGTTTAGGAAGATTTGCATTGCAGAGCAGGCAGAGGCACTGCACAACGATTCCTATGATTCCCATGGAATCATTATTAATTAGTCCCCTAAGGGGATGTTTAGTTTGAATTGCACGTCTCAGTCTATGTGCCACGGCCACATAATGTTCAGATGATCTGAACAAAATGGTCAGATGATAGATATGATAAGAAATATAACAAAACTTCCTATTATCTGGAACCATGGTGGTATAGTGGCACCTCATCCTCAAATGATATGGCCCGCACTAAGGAGCTTAATATAAGGATTTGTAGAAACTATTAGATGCTCTTAATAAGATCAAAATTAGGGAAATAATAAAAAAGCATCTAGAAGGACACTCTACAAACTTGTTTTTGGATATAGCAAAATTAAAAGAACAAATATTTAAAGCATCCCAGGCACACCTGACTTTAATGCCAGGAACTGGAGTGTTTAAAGATCTGCAGACAAAGTAGCAGCAAGTCATCCATTAGAATGGATAAAAACACTTGGTAACTCTGTGATTTCAATGATGATTGTACTTTTAATCTTTATTGTTTGTCTTTGTATAGTCTGCAGATGCAGACCCTGACTCCTGTGAGAAGCAGCTCACCATGACAAAGCTGCCTTTGCTTTTATCAATTTGAAAATCAAAGAAGGGGTACATGTTGGGAGCAAGCTCCCCAAAAATCTGGCCATAAACTGGCCCCAAAACTGGCCATAAACAATAAGCACTGTGACATGGTCATGATGGCACTAATGCTGACACTGAAAGATTGGGGGTTTACCAGAATGAAGGCAAGAAACAACTGGCCTGTCCAGGGTGGAAAACCACTTAAAGGCTTTCTTAAGCCACAAACAGCATGAGAAATCTGTGCCTTAATGTCATGTTCCAGCTGCAGTTAACTACCCCAACCTATTCCTTTAATTTTGCCCATCCCTTCATAGCCCATAAGAGATACTTTAAGTTAATTTACTATCTATAGAAACAATGTTAATGACTGGCTTGCAGTTAATAAATTTGTGGGTAAGTGTCTGATTGAGGCTCTCAGCTCTGAAGACAGTGAGACCCCTGATTTCCCACTTCACACCTCTGTATTTCTGTGTGTGTGTTGTTAATTCCTCTAGCACCACTGGGTTAGGGTCTCCCTGAATGAGCTGGTCTTGGCAGAGGGCTATGGTGAAAAAGAAAATATCTTCAGATAAAAAGTAGAAAGAAGCTTTTGAGAAACTGCTTTGTGATGTGTGTTTTCATCTCACAGAATTAAACTTTTCTTTTGATTCAGCAGTTTGGAAACACTGGTTTTGTCCATTCCATTTGGGAGCTCATTGAGGCCAAGGGCAAAAAAAGCAAATATCCCAAGATAAAAAATTGAAGGAAGCTATCTGACAAACCGTTTTGTGATGTGTGCTTTCATCTCACAGAGACAAAACTTTCTTTTCATTCAGCAGTTTGGAAACACTGTTTTTGCAGAATCTGCAAAGGGATATTTGGGAGTGCATTAACTCCTATGGTGAAAAACAAAATAACTTCAGATGAAAAGTAGAAAGAACATTTTGAGAAACTGCTTCATGATGTGTGCATTCATCTCACAGAGTTAAACCTTTCTTTTGATTCAGCAGTTTGAAAACACTGTTTTTGTCTATTCTGCGAATGGACATTTGGGAGCTCACTAAGGCCAATGGTGAAAAAGTGAATATCCCAGGATAAAAAATAGAAGGAAGCCATCTGAGACATTGATTTGTGATGAGTGCATTCATCTCACATAGTTAAACTTTTCATTTCATGCAGCAATTTGGAAACGCTTTGTTTGTAGGGTCTGCATTGGGATATTTGGGAGCATATTGAGGCCAATGGTGAAAAAGAAAATTTCTTCAGATAAAAACTAGAAAGAAGTTTTCTGAGAAATTGCTTTGTGGTGTGAGCATTCATCTCACAGAATTAAACTTTTCTTTAGATTCAGCAGTTTGGAAACAGTTTTTGCCATTCTGCAAATGGACACTTGCAGGTTCATTGAGTCCAAAGGTGAAAAAGTGAATATCACAGGAAAAAAACTAGAAGGAAGCTATCTAAGAAATTGCTTTGTGATGTGTGCATTCATCTAGCAGGTTAAACCTTTCTTTTAGTTCAGCAGTTTGGAAACACTATTTTTGTAGAATCTGCAAAGGGATATTTGGGAGCCCATTGAGGCCCTTGGTGAAAAAGAAAAATCTTCAAATAAAAACAAGAAAGAAGCTTTCTGAGAAACTGCTTTGTGATGTGTGCATCCACCTCACAGAGTTAACCCTTTCTTTTCATTCACCAGTGTTGAAACACTGTTTTGTAGAATCTGTGAAGGCATATTTGGGAGCATGTTGAGGTCTATGGTGAAAAAGAAGATATCTTCAGATAAAAAGTAGAAAAAATCTTTCTGAGAAACTGCGTTGTGATGTATGCATTCATCTTACAGAGGTAAAACTTTCTTTTGATTCAAGAGATTATAAACACTGTTTTTGTCCATTCTGTGAATGAACATTTGGGAGCTTACTGAGGCCAATTGCGAATAAGCAAATGTACCATCATAAAGAGTAGATGGAACCTATCTGACAAACTGCTTCATGATGTGTGCATTCATCTCACAGCTTTAAACCTTTCTTTTCATTCAGCAGTTTGGATACATGGTTTTTGTAGAATCTATGAAGAGATAATAGGGAAAGTACTGAGGCCTAAGGTGAAAAAGAAAATATCTTCAGGTCAAAAGTAAAAGAAGCTTTTGGAGAACCTGCTTTGTGATGTGTGCATTCATCTCACAGAGTTAAACCTTTCTTTTGATGCAGCAGTATAGAAACACTGTTTTTCTCCTAACTGCAAATGGACATTTGGGAGCCATTGAGGCCAATGGTGAAAAAGTGAATATCTCAGGATAAAACTAGAAGAAACCTACCTAAGAAACCGCATTGTGATGTGTGCATTCATCTCACAGAGTTAAAGCTTTCTTTTCATTCAGTAGTTTGGAAACACTGTTTTGGTAGAATCTGCAAAGGAATATTTGGGAGCATATTGATGTCTATGGTGAAAAAGAAAGTATCTTCAGATAAAAACTACAAAGAAGCTTTCTGAGAAAATTCTTTGTGATATGTGCATTCATCTCACAGAGTTCAACCTTTTTTAGATTCAGCAGTTTGTAAACACTGTTATTGTCCATTCTGTGAATGGATATTTGGGAGCTCATTGAGGCCAATGGTGACAATTAAATTATCCCAGGATAAAAACTAGAAGGAAGCTATTAGAGAAACCACTTTGTGAGGTGTGTTTTTTCTTGCAGAGTTAAATCTTTCTTTTCATTCAGCAGTTTAGAAACACTATTTTTGTACAATCAACGAAGGGATATTTGGGAGTTCATTAAGGCCTATGGTGAACAAGAAAATATATTCAGAAAAAAAAAAAAAACAGAAAGAAGCCTTCTGAGAAACTGCTTTGTGAGGTGTGCATTCATCTCAAAGTGTTAAAACCTTTCTTTTGATTCGGAGTTTGGAAAAGCTGTTATTGTTGATTCAGCGAATGAATATTTTGGAGCTCATTGAGGACAATGGTGAAAAAGGGAATATCCCAGGATACAAACTAGAAAGAAGCTATCTGGGAAACCACTTTGTGATGTGTGCATTCATCTCACAGAGTTAAACTTTTCTTTCATTCAGCTGTTTGGAAACACTGTTTTTGTAGAATCTGTGAATGGATATTTGGGAGCACATTGAGGCCTATGGTGAAAAAGAAATTATCTTCAGATAAAAACTAGAAAGAAGCTTTCTGAGGAACTGCTTTGTGATGTGTGCATTCATCTCACATAGTTTAACCTTTCTTTTAATTTAGCAGTTCAGAAACATGGTTTTTAACCATCTGCAAATGGACATTCGGGAGCTCATTGAGGCAAATGCCAAAAAAGAGAACATGCCAGGATAAAAACTAGAAGGAAGCAATCTCAGAATCTGCTTTGAGATATTTGCATTCATCTCACAGAGTTAAACCTGTCTTTTCATTCAGCAGTTTGGAAACACTGTTTTTGTCCATTCTGTGGATGGACATTTTGAAGCTGATTGAGGCCAATGGTGAAAAAGCAAATATTCCATGATAAAAACTTTCAGGAAGCTATCTGAGAAACCGTTTTGTGATATGTGCATTCATCTCGCCCAGTTAAACTTTCCTTTTCACTCAGCAGTTTGGAAACACTGTTTTTGTAGAGTCTGCAAACGGATATTTGGGAGCGCATTGAGGCCACTAGTGAAAAAGCATATATGTCAGGATAAAAACTAGAAGAAAGGTATCAGAGAAACTGCTTTGTGATGCGTACATTGATCTTGCAGAGTTAAACATTTCTTTTCATTCAGCAGTTTGGGGACACTTTTTTGTAGAATCTGTGAAGGGATATATGGGAGAGCATTGAGGCCTATGGTCAAAAAGAAAATATGTTCAGATAAAAACTAGAAAGAAGCTTTCTGAGAAACTGCTTTGTGATAAGTGCATTCATCTCACAGAGTTAAACCTTTCTTTTGATTCCACAATTTGGAAACACTGGTTTTGTCCACTCTGTGAACAGACATTTGGGAGCTCATTGAGGCCAATGGTGAAAAAGGGAATATCCCAGGATAAAAACTAGAAGGAACCTATCTGAGAAACAACTTTATGACCTGTGCATTCATCTCACTGAGTTAAACCGTTCTATTCCTTCATCAGTTTGGGAACACTGTTTTTGAAAAATCTGCAAGGGCATATTTAGGAGCACATTGAGGCTTATGGTGAAAATATCTTCAGATCAGGATATAGGCATGGGCATGGAATACTATGGGCAAGGACTTCATGTCTAAAACACCAAAAGCAATGGCAACAGAAGCCAAAATTGACAAATGGGATCCAATTAAACTAAAGAGCTTCTGCACAGCAAAAGAAACTACCATCAGAGTGAACAGGCAACCTACAAAATGGGAGAAAATTTTCGCAACCTACTTATCTGACAAAGGGCTAATATCCAGAATCCACAATGAATTCAAACAAATTTACAAGAAAAAAACAAACAACCCCATCAAAAAGTGGGTGAAGGACATGAACAGACACTTCTCAAAAGAAGACATTTATGCAGCCAAAAAGCACATGAAAAAATGCTCACCATCACTGGCCATCAGGGAAATGCAAATCAAAACCACAGTGAGATACCATCTCCCACCAGTTAGAATGGCAATCATTAAAAAGTCAGGAAACAACAGGTGCTGGAGAGGATGTGGAGAAATAGGAACACTTTTACACTGTTGGTGGGACTGTAAACTAGTTCAACCATTGTGGAAGTCAGTGTGGCGATTCCTCAGGGATCTAGAACTAGAAATACCATTTGACCCAGCCATCCCATTACTGGGTATATAACCAAAGGATTATAAATCATGCTGCTATAAAGACACACACACACGTATATTTATTGCGGCATTATTCACAATAGCAAAGACTTGGAACCAACCCAAATGTCCAACAAGGATAGACTGGATTAAGAAAATGTGGCACATATACACCATGGAATACTATGCAGCCATAAAAAATGATGAGTTCATGTCCTTTGTAGGGACATGGATGAAATTGGAAATCATCATTCTCAGTAAACTACCGCAAGAACAAAAAACCAAACACCGCATATTCTCACTCATAGGTGGGAATTGACCAATGAGAACACATGGACACAGGGAGGGGAACATCACACTCTGGGGACTGTTGTGGGGTGGGTGCAGGGGGGGAGGGATAGCTTTGGGAGATATACCTAATGCTAGATGATGAGTGAGTGGGTGCAGCTCACCAGCATGGCGCTTGTATACATATGTAACTAACCTGGACATTGTGCACATGTACCCTAAAGCTTAAAGTATAATAATAATAAAAAATAAATAAATAAATAAAAAGCTAGAAAGAAGCTTTCTGAGAAACTGCTTGTGATGTGTGCATTCATCTAGCAGAGTTAAATCATTTTTTGATTCTGCAGTTTGGAAGCACTGTTTTTGTCCTGTCTGTGATCTGATATTTGGGAGCTCATTGAGGCCAACGGTGAAAAAGTGAATATCCCAGGATAAAAACTAGAAGAAACCTACCAGAGAAACTGCTTTGTGACGTTTGCCTTCATCTCACAGAATTAAAACTATCTTTTCATTCAGCATTTTGGAGACACTGATTTTGAAGACTCTGCGAAGGGATGTTTGGGAGCCCATTGAGGCCTATGGTGAAAAAGTGAATATCTTCAGATAAAAATTAGAAAGAAGCTATCTGAGAAACCACATTGTGATGTGTACATTCATCTCACAGAGTTAAACCTTTCTTTTCATTCAGCAATTTGGAAAAACTCTTTTTGTAGAATCTGCAGAGGGTTATTTCGGAGTGAATTGAGGCCTATGGTGAAAAAGAAAATATCTTCAGATAAAAACTAGAAAGAAGCTTTCTGAGAAACTGCTTTGTGATGTGTGAATTCATCTCAGAGAGTTAAAGCTTTATTTTAATTCAGCATTGTGGAAACATTGTTTTCGTAGAAACTGTGAAGGGATATTTTAGAACACAATGATGCCTATGGTGAAAAAGAAAATATCTTCAGATAAAAAGTAGAAAGAAGCTTTCTCAGAGACTGCTTTGTGAGGTATGCATTCATCTCCGATAGTTAAACCCTTCTTTTGATTCAGCAGTTTGGAAATACTGTTTTTTCCATTTTGCAAATGGATATTTGGGAGCTCATTGGGCCAATGATGAAAAAGCAAAGACCACAAGATAAAAACTAGAAAGAAACTATCTGAGAAACCACCTTGTGATGTGTGCATTCATCTCACAGAACTAAATCTTTTCATTCAGCAGTTTGGAAACACTGTTTTCGTAGAGTCTGTGAAGGGATATTTGTGAAGGCATTGAGGCCTATGGTGAAAAAGAAAAGATCTTTAGATAAAAACAAGAAAGAAGCTTTCTGAGAAACTGGTTTGTGATTTTTGCATTCATCTCACAGAGTTAAACTTTTCTCTTGAGTCAGCACTTTGGAAACCTGTTTTTGTCCATTGTGCAAATGGACATATGGGAGCTCATTGAAGGAAGTGGTGAAAAAGAGAATAACCCAGGATAAAAACTAGATGGAAGCTATCTGAGAAACTGCTATTTGATGTGTTCATTCATCTCCCAAAGCTAAAACTTTCTTTTCATTCAGCAGTTTGGAAACACTGTTTTTGTAGAATCTGTGAAGGGACATTTGAGAGTGCTTTGAGGCCAATGGTGAAAAAGAAAATATCCTCAGATAAAAAATAGAAGGAAGCTTTCTGTGAAACTGTTTGTAATGTGTGCATTCTTGTCACAGAGGTAAACCTTATTTTTACTCAGCTTTTTGGAAACACTTTTTTCTTCCGTTCTGCAAATGGACATTTGGGAGCTCATTGAGGCCAAAGGCGAAAAAGGGTAGATTTATCCCAGGATAAAAACTAGAAGGAAGGTATCTGGGAAACCACTTTTTGATGTGTGCATTCACTTGCAGAGTTAAACCTTTCTTTTCATTCAGCAGTTTGGAAACATTGTTTTTGTAGAATCTGTGAAGGGATATTTGGGAGTGCATTGAGGCCTATGGTGAAAAAGAAAATATTTTCAGATAAAAAGTAGAAAGAAGTTTTCTGAGAAACTGCTTTGTGATGTGCACATTCATCTCACAGTGTCAAATCTTTCTTTTGATCCAGCAGTTTGGAAACACTGTTTTTGTCCAATCTGAGTATGAACATTTGGGAGCTCATTGTGGCCAATGTGAAAAAGTGAATATTCCAGGATAAAAAAAGAAGGAAGCTCTCTGATAAACTTCTTTGTGATGTGTGCATTCTTCTCACAGTGTTAAACCTTTCTTTTCATTTAGCAGTTTTGGAAACAGTGTTTTTGTAGAATCTGCAAAGGGTGCATTGATGTCTATGGTGAAAAAGAAAAAGAAAATACCTGAGAAGGGTGCATTGAGGTCTATGGTAGGACCTGCGAAGGGTGCATTGAGGCCTATGGTGAAAAAGAAAATACCTCTGTATAGAAACTAGAAAGAAGCTTTCTGAGAAACTGCTTTTTGATGTGTACATTCACCTCTGAGTTTACCATTTCTTTTGATTCAGCAGTCTGGAATCATTGTTTTTTTTTCCATTCTGTGAATGGACATTTGGGAGGTCAACGAGGCCAATGGAGAAAAATGAATATCCCAGGATAAAAACTAGAAGGAAGCTATCTGAGACTGCTTTTTGATGTGTGCATTCATTTGGAAGATTTAAACCTTTCTTTTCACTCTTCAGTTTGTAAAACTGCTTTTATAGAATCTGCAAAGGGATATTTGGGAGTGCATTGAGCCCTATGGTAAAAAAGAAAATATCTTCACGTAAAAAGTAAAAGGAAGTTTTCCTAGAAACTTTTTGTGAAGTGTGTATTCATCTCACAGAGTTAAAATTTCCTTTTAATTCAGCAGTTTGGAAACACTGTTTTTGACCATTCTACAAATGGACATTTGTGAACTCATTCTGGACAATGGTGAAAAAGTGAATATCCCAGGATAAAAACTAGAATGATGCTATCTGAGAAACTGCTTTGTGATTTGTGTATTCAACTCACAGAGTTAAAACTTTCTTTTGATTCACCTGTTTGGAAACGCTGTTTTTGTCCATTCTATGAATGGACCTTTGGGAGCTCATTGAGGCCAATGGCAATAAATGAATACCCTAGGATAAAAACTAAAGGAAGCTATCTGAGAAACTGCTATTTGATGTGTTCATTCATCTCCCAAAGCTAAAACTTTCTTTTCATTCAGCAGTTTGGAAACACTATTTTTGTAGAATCTGCATAATAACATCTGGGATCACATTGAAGCTTAGGCTGAAAAACAAAATATCTTCAGATAAAAACTAGAAACAAACTTTCTGAGAAACTGCTTGGTGATCTGTGAATTCATCTCACAAAGTTAAACCTTTCTTTTAATTCAGCAGTCTGGAAACACTGTTTTTGTCCATTCTGCAAATGGACATTTCGGCGCTCATTGAGGCCAGTGTCAATAAAGCAAATATACTAGGATAAAAACTAGAAGGAAGCTAACTGATACCAGGATAAAAACTAGAAGGAAACTAACTGAGAATCCACTTTGTGATTTGTGCATTCATCTCAAAAAGTTCAACTTTTCTTTTGACACGGCAGTTTGGAAGCACTGTTTTTGTCCATTCTGCAAATGGACATTTGGGAGCTCATTGAGGCCAGTGGCGAAAAAGAGAATCTCCCAGGATAGAAACTAAAAAAAAGCTATCAGAGAAACCGTTGTGTGATGTGTGCATTCAACTAGCAGAGTTAACCCTTTCTTTTCACTCAGCAGTTGGGAAACACTGTTTTTGTAAAATCTGCGAAGGAATATTTGGGAGTGCATTGAGGCCTATAGTGAAAAAGAAAATATCTTCTGATAAGCAAGAAATTTTCTGAGAAACTTCTTTGTGATGTGTGCCTTCATCTCATAGTGTTAAACTTTATTCTGATTCAGCAGTTTGCAAACCTGTTTTTGTTTATTCTGCAAATGGACTTTTGGGAGCTCCTTGAGGTTATTGGTGAAAAATCAAATATCCTAGTATAAAAACTAGGAAGAAGCTATCTGAGAAACCACATTGTGATGTGTTCATTCATCTTGAAGAGTTAATTCTTTCTTTTCATTCCACAGTTTGGAAACACTGTTTTTGTACAATTGACAAAGGGATATTTGGGATCTCATTGAGGCCAATGGTGAAAACGTGAATACCCCAGGGTAAAAACTAGAAGGAATATATCTGAGAAACCACTTTGTGATGTGTATACTCATCTCACAGAATTAAACCTCGCTTTTCAATCAGCAGTTTGGAAACACGGTTTTTGTAGACTCTGCAAAGGGATATTTGAGAGCACATTGAGGCCTATTGGTCAGAATACCTAAAGTAGGTCTTAAATAATTAATGTTACCCAAAAGTTTTTGAAGTCATTTAAAGTTTTCAAAGGATCTCTCCTAATTTGAAATTTTGAGGTTGAATAAATTGTTTATGACCACCATTCCTAAATTTTGAACAGGAGTGGTCTGTTGAATTTTATCCTGAGCAATGTGTAATCCAGCCTCTGTAACACAGTGGCTCAAAATTTGATTACAAACAATTAATTCTTTATCAGTTGGGGGCAGCAATTAAAATATCATCAATATAATAAATAATATAGGCCTGGGGGAATTGGGCTCGAACTGGTGAAAGCACTTGTCCAACATAATGCTGGCAGATTGTAGGGCTATTCAGCATTCCCTGAGGAAGTATCTTCCATTGATAACAAGGTGCAGGCTCCTGATTTTTAATAGACAGTACAGTAAAAGCAAATTTTTCACAATCCAATTTATGTAAAGCAATATGAAAAAAACAATCTTTAAGATCAATAACTATGAGAGGCCAATTTTTAGGTACTAAAGCAGGGGCAGGCATGTCATGTTGGATAGCCCCCATAGGTTTAATTACAGTGTTAATGGCTCTTAAATCAGTTACCATCTGCTACTTGCCTGATTTCATTTTACTAGAAACACAGGAGTATTCCAGGGGGAAAGAGAAGGTTCCACATTTACAAGTTGTAACTGTTCAGAAACCAAGTGAGTTAAAGCCTCCAGTTTTTGTTTAGAGAGCAGCCACTGCTGAATCCAAACCAGTGTCTCAGATTTCCATTGTAAAGGGATAGGGTCAGGAGGCATGGCAGCAGCCACCACTGAAAAGAATAACCTAAACCTGCCCTGTTTCTTTTATAGCAACTGGGAGGGGTTTAGTAATCCCTTCATGCTTTGGACCGAGACCGAGCCCAGGAACAAACCCCATGTTTTCCATCATATGCTGATTGGGAGCACTATAAGAGTTATATGGAATATTAATTTCAGCCCCCCATTGTACCAGTAAATCTCTACCCCAGAGATTAATGGGAATTGGCATGATTTAGGGCTGAATTGTACCATTTTGACCATCTGGGCCAGTGCAAGGCAAGATAAATGTGCTCTCATACACTTCCTCAGCTTTTCCAACACCTACTAGTCCCATGTTAGTGGGATGTTTAAGCCAGGAAGAAGGCCATAAACTAGAGGAAATAACAGAAACATCAGCCCTGGTATCCACTAGACCCTCAAACTTTTTTCCTTGAATATATATGGTGCAGGTGGGCAGTTGTTTAGAAATTACATTAGTCCAATAAGTGGCCTTTTCACTGCTGGAGCCCATCCCAGGGCCACTCATCTTATCTCCTTTCTTTAAAATGATATTAGGTAGTAAAAGCAATTGAGCAATTGACTCACTGGCCTGAATGGAAACAGGAGCCTTGGCAGACACAATTAATTTAATGTCATCAACAGAATCAGAATTAATGAGACCAGTATGAATGGTGATTCCTTTAGCAGAGGTGGATGCCCTTCCTACCACCAGGCCCACTAAACCTTGAGGTAAATGGCCAGTGACCCCTGGGGGATAATTAAAGGCAAAGAGTTAGGTAGTAAATTTAGAGGAATAGTATTACAGAGATCGACCACCCTGCCCCTTACCATGGAGGTGGATAAGCATTGTACTGAGACAGAGGGAAAGGCTGGGACCCATCTGGGTTGGCTGTAGGTAAATTTGTTTGTGCTGGGGGTTGTTGGGACTGCCTGAAGTTGGACGCAATGTTGGTCTGAGTCTGAAGCATCTCATTTGATATCGGGGCCTGGGACAAGATCTGCTCCCTATTCCCCTGGTTTTGTGGTAGGGGGTTTCCATTTATATCATACTTAAAGTGACAATTACTAGCCCAATGTTTACCTTTACCACGTGGACTAATAGTAGCAGCAGCATTTGGCCATGTTTGTTGAGCCAGCTTGGAAGCTTTTAAGTTTTTAACAGTGCAATTTTTCTGAGTATGACCAAGTTGAGCATGATTATAGCACTCTCCAAGAAAAGAATTAGTGGGGCCAGTTTGATTGGTATCCTTCATGGCCTGTGCCCACAGGATAGCCTTGTGGGTGTCTGATCCAATGTCTTCACATGCTTTAATATATGCAGGCAACACCTCATGATCAGGCAAATTTTGTCATTGGACAGAATGCTTGACCATTTTACACTCATGGTTCGCATTTTCAAAAGCTAACGTACAAAGGAGAATACCTTCAGCACGCTCATCAGAGACAGACTTTTCAACAACATCTTGCAATTTTGCTAAAAAATCAGGGTACAATTCAGTGTGACCTTGTTTAATGGTAGTAAAAGAAACAGGAGGTTGGCCTGGGTCGTGTCATTTATCCCAAGCTCTCATACACACCTTTGTTACTTGTTCCGTGGTAAGAGCATCAAAGTTTAATTGGGCATAAGTATCAAAGAAATTATCGGAGCCTGTGAGCTGAGTCTGAGTAACTAGAATGCCATTAGTCCAACTTAGCTGAGCCTGCAAATTAGCCTTTCTAACCACCAGGTACGAAATTGTAAATGCTGAGATGGGGTCAGAACAGTTTTGCAAAAAGTTCCCAGTCTAAAATAAGTAAAGTGACCTCTGTAAAAAAAAAGGTTGTAATAGCATTTTAACATAAGGAGAAGTAGGACCATACTGAGTCCAAGCATCCTTAAATTCTTTTAAAAAGGTAAGATTAAGAGGTACATAGAGACACATTTGTAACCCTAGGAAGTTAGGAGCGTCTAGCATGACTGGATAAGTCCACACGTCTAATCCACTTGTTTCTTTGTTTTGGCATAATAAGTGTTGCATTGAAGTTTCAAGAGTAGGCATCTGGATGGAGTCAGCATAGAAGTGACAGGAAAATCATGTGTAGATAACGGAAACGGAGGGTGAGGGGGTCAGACAGGAATGAGAATGTGAGAAAGGGGTATTGGAGGAGCAGAAGTATACTGGTGATTACTGGCGTCCATGTGTGAAGAAGGGTACAGAGAAGCACGCTGAGTGGATGGCAAACTGACTGGCTGAGGAACCAAAACAACACGAGGGCGAGGGGCTGAAGTGGATGGGGGAGGACCTGCAGAATTATAGGCGCATTGTAGTTTGGTCCTGGAGCCATTAGTTGACTCTGGAGGTTTGAAAAGAGAAGAATTAGCGTATATATATGGTCCTGGGCTGTGTGACTTGGGGCTGCGGGAGCTACAAGTACCGGCTCTTTGTGAAAAGAAATAAGATAAGCAGGAGCTAACATTAAGCCAAAGTCACTGGAGTTAGACATTGAATTTTCAACAGGAGGAGGAGGAGTAAGTGAAGGGAGAGGATGATCAGATAACGAAGGCCATGTGGGAGAGGATGGCTGAGGAAAAGTCAGAGAAACTGAGGAAAAGGCAAAAAACTGTGACTACTGCAGGGGTTCATGGGAACGGCATGCCACCAAGACAGAACGCACAATTCCCAACCACCCCAAACAGTGACGGGGAGAAAATTCCCTGTTGAGACCAGTGCCTGGAATGCTGCACCAACACCGTCCCATACTTTGCCATATAAGGTTCCTTTTTCAGGAAACCAAGGACATTATTTTTCCACTGTCCTGAATAGAGTGACCATATTTTCCATGGTTACTTGGACCCTTCCCTGTTTTAATAGGTCTGCATTTAAATTTCCTTTTTCAGGAGATGAAGGGCAGAATTTTACCACTGCCCTAAAGAGTGACCGTATTTTCCATGGGGACTCGAACCCTTTTATGTTTTAACTGGAGTTTAATATAGAAGAGATGAGTATAATTTTTAGACTCCGTGTGACCCATAGTTAACCTGGACCATACACAGACTACTCACCAGTCATCAGGGAGTGAAACAAGCCTCTCTGAGGACCTAACCGATAACATTTCTCTGCACCTACCAAAGGGAATCAGGTTCCCACATGCACCTGGGAAAAAGAAAAAATAACGTGGGCCCCAGATATAGGGGAAACCCACCCCCAATGATTCAAGATGGGTCCTTTTATTTATTATACTTTAAATTTTAGGGTACATGTGCACAATGTGCAGGTTAGTTATGTATGTATACATGTGCCATGTTGGTGTGCTGCACCCATTAACTCGTCATTTAACATTAGGTATATCTCCTAATGCTATCTCTCCCCCCACGCCCACCCCACAACAGGCCCCACTGTGTGATGTTCCCCTTCCTATGTCCATGAGTTCACATTGTTCAATTCCCACCTATGAGTGAGAACATGCGGTGTTTGGTATTTTGTCCTTGTGACAGTTTACAGAGAATGATGGTTTCCAGCTTCAGCCATGTCTCTACAAAGGACATGAACTCATCACTTTTTATGGCTGCATAGTATTCCATGGTGTATATGTGCCACATTTTCTTAATCCAGTCTATCATTGTTCAACATTTGGCTTGGCTCCAAGTCTTTGCTATTGTGAATAGTGCTGCAATAAATATACCTGTGCATGTGTCTTTATAGCAGCATGATTTAAAATCCTCTGGGTATATACCCAGTAATGGGATGGCTGGGTCAAATGGTATTTCTAGTTCTAGATCCCTGAGGAATCTCCACACTGCCTTCCACAGTGGTTGAACTAGTTTACAGTCCCACCAACAGTGTAAAAGTGTTCCTATTTCTCCACATCCTCTCCAGCACCTGTTGTCTCCTGACTTTTTAATGATCACCGTTCTAACTGGTGTGAGGTGGTATCTCATTTTGGTTTTGATTTCCATGTCTCTGATGGCCAATGATGATGAGCATTTTTTCATGTGCTTTTTGGCTGCATAAATGTCTTCTTTTGAGAAGTGTCTGTTCGTATCATTCACCCACTTGTTGATGGGGTTGTTTGTTTTTTTCTTGTAAGTTTAAGTTCTTTGTAGATTCTGGATATTAGCCCTTTGTCAGATGAGTAGATTGCAAAAATTTTCTCCCATTCTATAGGTTGCCTGTCCACTCTGATGGGAGTTTCTTTTGATGTGCAGAAGCTCCTTAGTTGAATTAGATCCCATTTGTCAATTCTGGCTTTTGCTGCCATCGCTTTTGGTATTTTAGACATGAAGTCCTTGCCCATGTCTATGTCCTGAATGGTATTGCCTAAGTATTCTTGTAGGGTTTTTATGGTTTTAGGTCTAACATGTAAGTCTTTAATCCATCTTGATTTAATTTTTGTAGAAGGTGTAAGGAAGGGATCCAGTTTCAGCTTTCACATATGGCTAGCCTGTTTTCCAAGCACCATTTATTAAATAGGGAATCCTTTCCCCATTGCTTGTTTTTGTCAGGTTTGTCAGAGATCAGATGGTTGTAGATGTGTGATATGATTTCCGAGGGCTCTGTTCTGTTCCATTGATCTATATCTCTGTTTTGGTACCAGTGTCATGCTATTTTGTTTACTGTAGCCTTGTAGTATAGTTTGAAGTCAGGTAGTTTGATCCCTCCAGCTTTGTTCTTTTGGCTTAGGATTGACTTGGCAATGTGGACTCCTTTTGCTTCCATATGGACTGTAAAGTAGCTTTTTCCAATTGTGTGAAGAAAGGCATTGGTAGCTTGATGGGGATGGCATTGAATCTATAAATTACCTTGGGCAGCATGGCCAATTTCACGATATTGATTCTTCCTGCCCATGAGCATGGAATGTTCTTCCATTTGTTTGTATCCTCTTTTATTTCATTGAGCAGTGGTTTGTAGTTCTCCTTGAAGAGGTCCTTCATATCCCTTGTAAGTTGGATTCTTAGGTATTTTATTCTCTTTGAAGTAATTGTAAATGAGAGTTCACTCATGATTTGGCTCTCTGTTTGTCTGTTATTGGTATTTAAGAGTGCTTGCGATTTTTGCACATTGATTTTGTATCCTGAGATTTTGCTGAAATTGCTTATCAGCTTAAGGAGATTTTGGGCTGAGATGATGGGGTTTTCTAAATATACAATCATGTCATCTGCAAACAGGGACAATTTGACTTCCTCTTTTCCTAATTGAATACCCTTTATTTCCTTCTCCTGCCTAATTGCCCTGGCCAGAACTTCCAACACTATGTTGAATAGGAGTGGTGAGAGAGGGCATCCCTGTCTTGCGCCAGTTTTCAAAGGGAATGGTTCCAGTTTTTGCCCATTCAGTATGGTATTGTCTGTGGGTTTGTCATAGATAGTTCTTATTGTGTTGAGATACATCCCATCAATACGGAATATACTGAGTTTTTAGCATGAAGGGTTGTTGAATTTTGTCAAAGGCCTTTTCTGCAACTATTGAGATAATCATGTGGTTTTTGTCTTTGGCTCTGTTTATATGTTGGATTACATTTATTGATTTGCGTATGTTGAACCAGCCTTGCATCCCAGGGATGAAGCCCACTTGATCATGGTGGATAAGTTTTTGATGTTCTGCTGGATTTGGTTTGCCAGTATTTTATTGAGGATTTTTGCGTCGATGTTCTTCAGGGATATTGGTCTAAAATTCTCTTTTTTTGTTGTGTCTCTGCCCAGCTTTGGTATCAGGATGATACTGGCCTCATAAAATGAGTTAGGGAGGAGTCCCTCTTTTTCTATTGATTGGAATAGTTTCAGAAGGAATGGTACCAGCTCCTCCTTGTACCTCTGGTAGAATTCGGCTGTGAATCCATCTGGTCCTGGACTTTTTTTGGTTGGTAATCTATTAATTATTGCCTCAGTTTCAGAGTCTGTTATTGGTCTATTCACAGATTCAACTTCTTCCTGGTTTAGTCTTGGGAGGGTGTATGTGTCCAGTAATTTATCCATTTCTTCTAGATTTTCTAGTTTATTTGTGTAGAGGTGATTTTAGTAATCTCTTATGGTAGTTTGTATTTCTGTGGGATCGGTGGTGATATCCCCTTTATTGTTTTTTATTGTATCTATTTGATTCTTCTTTTCTTCTTTATTAGTCTTGCTAGTGGTCTATCAATTTTGTTGATCTTTTCAAAAAACCAGCTCCTGTATTCATTGATTTTTGAAGGTTTTTTTGTGTCTCTATTTCCTTCAGTTCTGCTCTGATCTTAGTTATTTCTTGCCTTCTGCTAGCTTTTGAATGTGTTTGCTCTTGCTTCTCTAGTTCTTTTAATTGTGATATTAGGTTGTCCATTTTAGATCTTTCCTGCTTTCTCTTGTGGGCATTTAGTGCTATAAACTTCCCTCTACACACTGCTTTAAATGTGTCCCAGAGATTCTGGTATTTTTTGTCTTTGTTCTCGTTGGTTTCAAAGAACATCTTTATTTCACCTTCATTTCGTTATGTACCCAATAGTCATTCAGGAGGAGGTTGTTCAATTTCCATGTAGTTGAGTGGTTTTGAGTGAGTTTCTTAATCCTGAGTTCTAGTTTGATTGCACTGTGGTCTGAGAGACAGTTTGTTATAATTTGTATCCTTTTACATTTGCTGAGGAGTGCTTTACTTCCAACTGTGTGGTCAGTTTTGGAATAGGTGTGGTATGCTGCTGAGAAAAAAGTATATTCCGTTGATTTGGATGGAGAGTTCTGTAGATGTCTTCATAGGTCTGCTTGGTGCAGAGCTGAGTTCAATTCCTGGATATCCTTGTTAACTTTCTGTCTCATTGATCTGTCTAATGTTGACAGTGAGGTGTTAATGTCTCCCATTATTATTGTGTGGGAGTCTAAGTCTTTTTGTACGTCTCTAGGGACTTGCTTTATGAATCTTGGTACTCCTTTATTGGGTGCATATATATTTAGGATAGTTAGCTCTTCTTATTGAATTGATCTCTTTGCCATTTTGTAATGGCCGTCTTTGTCTCTTTTGATTTTTGTTGGTTTAAAGTGTGTTTTATCAGAGACTAGGATTGAGACACGTGTCTTTTTTTGTTTTCCATTTGCTTCGTAGATCTTCCACCATCCCTTTATTTTGAGCCTACGTGTGTTATTTTCTCATGGCAGTTGGAGTAAACCAATACAATGGGGCTTGTGTTTTGGAGCAAAACAGTTTAAGTGGGCCTCAGGACATAAATGGAAATTTTCGCCAAGA
This sequence comes from Homo sapiens, assembly GCF_000001405.40. Taxonomy (NCBI): domain Eukaryota; kingdom Metazoa; phylum Chordata; class Mammalia; order Primates; family Hominidae; genus Homo; species Homo sapiens. The sequence goes on along the minus strand of NC_000006.12, from coordinate 61,270,515 downwards.
TTATTCTTCTGTGGAGTATGAATGAAGAAAACTTTAGGCCACACTATTGCCTCTGTAGAAACAGACAACCTCAACAGTTATCCAAGAACAAGAGTTGAAATCCAGTGGTAATTATATTAGCTAAACTTTTTCTACTGGCAATTTTCTCCTGCACATTTCAAAGAAATGTGGGAAGAAAACAAAAGACACTTTCAGAATAAATGGATGATCCTTAATTATATGATTTTCTTTGCCAAAAATAAAGATTATTTTCTCCCATATCTTTTATTTTAGCAACACATTTTTGTAAAAGCTACTTGCAGAAATGTTCTGAAAACTGACATTTTCAAGCAGGTCCAGGCACTGCACAGGGCATTGAGACAGCCCTCTCAGCATGTTTACCTCTGCTTTTCCCTGCACCAAGTTCTGATCTCAGAGGGAGATTTGAACTCATTATGAAATAGAATTCACTTTCCAGAACTGGGTACCATATGTCTTCCTTGGTGATAAGGTTGACATTTGCATCCATTGAAAATACATAAGACAAGTCATTCTTGTGCTAATGCTCAAGGGAAGAAGCTGCTGCTGACTTAAACCCAAGCATTGACAGATAGTAGCCCTGGAATCCTGCAGGATTTCACATCAGCACATCTTCCACAAGGTGCAATTGTTAGGCGTCCTGCCTTGGAATTTTGAAACAGATAATAGATAAAGAGGTAAAAGGAAGTTAGAATTTTTGCTTTCTCTTCATCTTTTGTCTCCATAGCTTACACTGCTCATTGAGAGACTTTCCTCTCTGTTCAGTTTCCACTTGTTTCTGTTTTATATGCGGTAAGTTTCTCTATAGAAAATTTTAATAGTCCATTGTGCTGTTTTAATTGGAAAATGTGAATATTAACTTATATCAGCATAAAGTTGAGAAAAATGCGTTTACTGAGGTTTCTTTTTGTTCACTACATTCTATCAGTTTCCCATTATCACCTTTGAGTAATATTTTGTGGCAGAACCAGAATAAAAAGTATGTAGAAATAACCATTTTTATTATTCTCTGATTAATATGACCTTGTTAAACACAAATTTCTAAGGTATAATAATGATGTTAACTTACACTCATTTTCTAATTGATTTTTACATCTTAAAAGTATTCGAGTTCTTGCTTTGCTATTTATGTGACTTTAGTCAAACCATCCTAAATCACCACAGTTACCTAACATGTCTATCATCCTAAAAACACTAGACATAATGTTATTTAATTATTTGATGGCCAATTATCCATCTTGGATTTTGGAAAAATGTGGGGTTGGTTAACATTTCACTAGAGGACAGGAAGAGGAAGAGAGAATTAATAAAACTTGAATTCATTATCTTTATGGTAATTGGGTATTTGAATACCTAAGACTTCTCTTTAAATTACTGAAGTAATAGGGAATAGTTTAGCTTTTAGTGGGTTATTTTGTTACATTCTAGCAATGCAACCAGGCTGAACACATTACAGAGTACAAAAACATAAGGGGGGGTGGGGGAGTGGGAGGAGTGGCATGTCAAAAGCAATGCTTGGGTAGTAAAGAGGGCCTGGCTTTTTGCCTTGCCTCTGTCCCTGTTTTTCTGTGTGATCTGTCACATTCACAAAGTCTGTCACATTTTCCTCATCTATAAACAGTAGTAGTGAGACCTTGTCTGGTATCATTTGGATTGTGTGGCCTCTAAATCTCATCTGGATATGTGATTCCTAGTGTCAGAGGTGGGGCCTGGTGGGAGTGTTTGGGTCATGGGATGGATCCCTCGTGCCTTAGTGCTGTCCTCTTAATAGTGAGTGAGATCTTGTGAGATATGGTGTTTCCGGGTGCATGGCATTTCTGCCCCACTCTCACTTTCCTGCTACTACATTCGCCATGTGACATATCTGTTCCTGCTTGGCCTTCCACCTTGAGTAAAAGTGCCCTGCCTGAGGTCTCCCTAGAAGCTGAGCAGATGCCAGTTTCAAGCTTGTACAGCCTGTGGAACTGTGAGTGAATTAGACCTCTTTTCTTTATAAATTACCCAGGTTCCAGTATTCCTTTATAGCAATGCAAGAATAGCCTAACATGTTGTCAATCTATGAAGATTCTTGTGATTAAATTAGGTAATGAATAAAATTCAGTTAGAAAATATTTAAGTATAAAGTATTCTCACTATTAATTGGAGGCTAATTTATTTGTTATCTTGAATGGTGAGTTAGTCTAAGCATGAAAAGATTATTTTGTATTACTCCTCAGAACTGGTATTGGATTGTGCTTAATGTTATGTACCTTTTATTTAAATAATATTCTTATAGATTTAAAAACATATTTACATGGTCTCATTTAATTTTGTATACACCTTATAGGCTCCATGATATTGGGCAAGATGTCTTGTTATGGTAGGTATTTGGTAGCTGATGAAATGGATCTTGAATGAACGAATTACCTAATAAATGCAAGAATGTTCAAGGTATTTGGATGTCACAAAAGGAAAAGGAAATTAGATGGTAAAGTATTGTAAAATAAGTTTATGCTACATCGTTTAAAATATGTTGCATGATTTCCAGTAATGATGTAAGTTGAGAAGAAAAAAACTATCTGCCTCAAATTATTATTTTGCATTATTATTTCAAGTAGTTAGTACAATTTTCTTATCATTAAAAAATTATTTTTCTCTTGTCAAAAATACCTAGAATAAAAGTTTAGCCTGCTTTATTACCCTGAATGCACTGGTGGAGAATGATGGATGACTGTTATGAGCTAAACTTTTGGGAAATTTGACCTATTCTAGCAGTATTCGGGAGATCAGAAAAGGCACTGGGGTGAATATGTAAGACAATAAACATCAACCTAAAACTAAATGTACCTGTCTTTGTCAGGTTTAAAATTCGAAAATAGAGACTTCCATTGAGATGCAATGGAAGATTTAGGAAATGCATCTGCCTCCTTCCCTTTCTTCTTCCCTCTCTTCCTGCCTCCTTTTTCCTTTTCCTTCATTTTTACTTTCCTTCAGTTCTTTGACTCCTTTTCATGCCCCATCTAGTTTATAAATGATTCTACTTTTCTGACATTCCACAATTACTGCCATTTGCTTTCAGATAAGTAATTTCTCTCTGCTTCAGAAGATGAAACTATAGAGTCTGGACTTGTCCACTGTTTCCTTTAGCCATCTTCTCACCATTGTTATTATGACAATTTATCAATGCTTCACAAGATATTTCTTTTAATTCTTGTGTTTTTTTAATACTTAAGTCCTTAACCAAATATAACTAGTATCATCACCCACATAATATAGAGTTACCTAAATAAAACACAAATGTAATTAGCTACCCATGTAACAAAAATGGCTTATCTGTTTTTTCCATGGTAAGTTGAAGAGAAAATCTAGTTATGTACCTAAGAGCACATTTTGCTTGTAATATATATTTTTTATTCAGTGGGAAAGCAGCTGGAGCTTTGAAAATTGAAATATTTGATAGCTTAAAAGAATTACAGATAATACTGTAAAGCTCTAACATTTTAAGAGAGAATATATTGGATTCATATATATATACATACATACGTATACATATACATACATACGTATACATATACATACATACGTATACATATACATACATATATACATATGTATGTATACACATACATACGTACATATGTATATGTATACACATACATACGTACGTATGTATGTGTATACATATACATACGTATATATATACATATGTACTGATATTTTAGCCCCAGTTTCAAGATTCTGTACTATTTTCACCATAAATACAGTATTTAGAATGTATTTCCCAATTTTATCTCTGTAACATGTTACAAAATTTGCATTTGAAAGAGGGATATGATATTACCTTTACAAAAGAATTACTTATAAAACTCTGTAAAACGTCTGTATAAAGATACATCATAGTAATTATACTGAATGTGGAAGTTATTTAACATTAATTTAAAATAGCTTAAAAATAAAACCTAATAGTATTTTATTCAAGCCTGGTACTAGAATGTATTCTGCATATCAGATTTTATTATTTTAATTATTTTATTCTAGTTGTACTATGTTACACTTGCATATCTGAGTTTTTATCCATTTCTCCTGTATATATGTATGAAACAGTTCTCTTATTTATCAATGTATTGTAATCTCAATGTAATAAAATTTTTAATTAACCTCTCATATTTGAAACCATGACTTCAATTTTCTTGCATTATAAGATGATTTATTTTCTCCAAATATAGATATTTCTAGAAATTTCCCTATTAGGAATGTCCCTATATCTATGACTAAAACACAAATTATGTCCCAATATTGTGCATGTGTACTATGACATATAAATCAAGTATATAGATTTCTTAAAGTGTATGTAAACAAATAGTAACTGTAAAATATATAACGTAATTATATAAGCAAATTGATATATTATGAGGGCTAACACTTTGAAAAGCCTTTTAAAATTAAAATATTTGAGTTAATAGGTCTGTGTGCTGCCCAGTACAATACACTACAAACTATTTTTCTCTGAGACAATTAGGTTTACCCATCTAATTTTTAATCTTCTTATCCTGACTATTAATCAAATGTAAAGCTTAGTTAATGTAAATAAAAATTCACTGAGAGTTAACAAAATGAGAATACTAACTCAGGTTATACTTCTTTGTGGCTTTGTGCAAATCACTTATGTTCTTTTACCTTTTGGGGCTGTTCAAAATTTGTATCACAAACTTCTGGAAAACATGCTTTATTTCCCTAATCGCAATTGATTCCTGCTCTCTGCATTTTTACCGTCCAGTGTTTGACCATAGAATATACTACATTTTTCTACTTATGTTTCAATTTAAGATTATTTCCCTCACTAGATTTTAAATTCTTCATGGTCAAAAAACAGGTCTTTTCCTGCAGTGTACCTCAGGACATTTTGGACTAAATTCTTAATGACAAATTGATAAGCCTGAAACTCTGAGGGATCTGGGATGCTACCCTACTTGCAAACTGAAGAGTTACCATTCTGCAGAAACTTAAGACCTCTAGGTCAGTGGAAAGACCATTTAATCATGGAACATCTTTCACGAGTCTCCATGTCACAAATCCCTGCAAGCCATGCAGTGAGAGCTAAATTTGTACCAAAGAAGAGGAGTTCTGAAATATGAAACCTGGAGCTTACATAGGGTGCTGCAAGGTCTGACATTCTCCTCTTGGAAAAAGAAAGTGAAACTTTGCTATGGAATGTAGACGAATCCTCTCTAGGAAAAAAGGATAAGGTTACTAAGTCACTACTCTGAAATGAAAAGAAATAGCTCTGAGAGATACATCTCTGGTCATTCTGGTGGCTCTATCAGTATAGTTGCTATGCAATCATCCTTTAATTCAAGTGCCAGTGCTCTCTGCTCAAAGTACTCTGATGATGCAGAATATTCATCAAACATTATCCCCAATCACACATAAATAAAGTGATATTTATTGTCCAAACTAGGAAGCTTTTGAGAGTGAAAGGGGTGCCATTAAAATTGTTGCCAGAACAATATTATGAAAGATGAAGAAAGGTTGAGAAACTATTGTAGCTCAAAAAAAGAGGTACATGTGCATAGACACCATCACCCTGCCTCCACACATGACCCTGATGGCACCACTCCAATGAAATACTTTTTTTGCCAGCATCCCCCATCAGAGTATTGTTGCCAGTGGACTGGGAACACCTCAGTTCCTCCAACACAGCAGGTGCTTAACCTTGAGTGGATAGAGAACAAAGGCACAGACCTGGTACCAGCCCCTAGGTTTAGAGTATGCAGCCCAGGAGTGCTGAGATGAGCCTTGGCCCCCTGAAATATCCATAAACAAAGCCACCCAACTAAAGCCAATATACCACAGTCAAACCCTCAAGGACATCAAAGAATATAAAAGCAAAAAACCCCATCCAAAGGACAGCAACTTCAAAAATTAAAGATACATCAGTCCACACAGAAGATAAAGAACCAGCACAAGAACTCTGGCAACTCAAAAAGCCAGAGTGTCTTCTTACTTGCAAATGTCCATACTACCTCCCCAGCAACGGTTCTTAGCCAGATTGAAATGGCAGAAAAAACAGACATAGAATTCAGAATATGGATAGAAAAAAAATGATTAGATTCAGGAGAAAGTAAAAACCCAACCCAATTGAAGGAATCCAATAAAATGATAGGAGCTGAAAGATGAAAGAGCAATTGTAAGAGGGTACCAAACTCATCTGATAGAGCTGAAAAACTCACCACAAGAATTTCATAATACAATCAGAAGGGTATTTTTTTGTTTGTTTTGAGACAGAGTCTCACTCCATCACTCAGAGTTCAAGTGATTCTCCTGCCTCAGCCTCCTGAGTAGCTGGAATTATTACAGGCATGCACCTCCACACCCAGCTAATTTTTGTATTTCTAGTAGAGTTTCTCCATGTAGGCCAGGCTGGCCTCAAATTCCTAACATGAAAAGGAACAACTGGTACCAGCCACTGCAAAAATATGCCAAATTGTAAAGACCATCAAGGCTAGGAAGAAAGTGTCTCAACTAATGAGCAAATCAAAATGACAGCTGACATCAAAATGACAGGATCGAATTCACACATAACAATATTATCCTTAAATGTAAATGGGCTAAATGCTCCAAATAAAAGACACAGACTGCAAAACTGAATAAAGAGTCAAGACCCATCAGTGTGCTGTATTCAGGAAACCCATCTCACATGTAGAAACACAAATAGGCTCAAAATAAAGGGATGGAGGAAGATCTACCAAGCAAATGGAAAACAAAAAGAAGGCAGATGTTGCAATCCTAGCCTCTGATAAAACAGACTTATACCAGCAAAGATCAAAAGAGACAAGGAAGGCCATTACATAATGGTAAAGGGATCAATTCAACAAGAAGAGCTAACTATCCTAAATATATATGCACCCAATACAGGAGCACCAAGATTCATAAAGCAAGTCCTTAGAGACCTACAAAGAGACTTAGACTCCCCCACAATAATTATGGGAGACATTAACACCTCACTGTCAACATTAGACAGATCAATGAGACAGAAAGTTATCAACGATATCCAGGAGTTGTACTCAGCTCTGAACCAAGCAGACCTACAAAGACATCTACAGAACTCTCCACCCCAAATCAACAGAATATACATTCTTCTCAGCACCACACCTATTCCAAAACTGACCACACAGTTGGAAGTAAAGCACTCCTCAGCAAATGTAAAAGAGTAGAAATTATAACAAACTGTCTCTCAGACCACAGTGCAATCAAACTAGAACTCAGGATTAAGAAACTCACTCAAAACCACTCAACTATATGGAAACTGAACAGCCTGCCCTGGAATGACTACTGGGGACATTATGAAATGAAGGCAGAAATAAAGATGTTCTTTGAAACCAACGAAAACAAAGACAAAAAATACCAGAATCTCTGGGACACATTTAAAGCAGTGTGTAGAGGGAAATTTATAGCACTAAATGCCCACAAGAGAAAGCAGGAAAGATCTAACACTGACACCCTAACATCACAATTAAAAGAACTAGAGAAGTAAGAGCAAACACATTCAAAAGCTAGCAGAAGGCAAGAAATAATTAAGACAAGAGCAGAACTGAAGGAAATAGAGACACAAAAAACCCTTCAAAAAATCAATGAATCCAGGAGCTGATTTTTTGAAAAGATCAACAAAATTGATAGACTGCTAGCAAGACTAATAAAGAAGAAAAGATAGAAGAATCAAATAGATGCAATAAGAAATGATAAAGGGGATATCACCACCAATCCCACAGAAATAGAAACTACCATCAGAGAATACTAAAAACACCCCTATGCAAATAAACTAGAAAATCTAGAAGAAATAGATAAATTACTGGACACATACAGCCTCCTAAGACTAAACCAGGAAGAAGTTGAATCTCTGAATAGACCAATAACAGGTTCTGAAACTGAGGCAATAATTAATATCTTACCAAGCAAAAAAAAACTCCAGGACCAGACAGATTCACAGCTGAATTCTACCAGAGGTACAAGGAGGAGCTGGTACCATTCCTTCTGAAACTATTCCAATCAATAGAAAAAGAGGGACTCTTCCCTAACTCATTTTATGAGGCCAGCATCATCCTGATACCAAAGCCTGGCAGAGACGTGACAAAAAGAAAAAGAATTTTAGACCAATATCCCTGATGAACATCTATGCAAAAATCCTCAATAAAATACTGGCAAACCGAATCCAGCAGCACATCTAAAAGCTTATCCACCATGATCAAGTGGGCTTCACCCCTATGATGCAAGGCTCATACAACATAGGCAAACCGGTAAATGTAATCCAGCATAGAAACAGAACCAAAGACAAAAAACACATGATTATCTCAATAGATGCAGAAAAGGCCTTTGACAAAATTCAACAGCCCTTCATGCTAAAAACTCTCAATAAATTAGGTATTGATGGGATATATCTCAAAATAATAAGAGCTATTTATGACAAACCCACAGCCAATATCATACTGAACGGGCAAAAACTGGAAACATTCCCTTTGAAAACTGGCACAAGACGGGGATGCCCTCTCTCACCACTCCTATTCAACATAGTGTTGGAAGTTCTGGCCAGTGCAATCAGGCAGGAGAAGGAAATAAAGGGTATTCAATTAGGAAAAGAGGAAGTCAAATTGTCCCTGTCTGCAGATGACATAATTGTATATCTAGAAAAACCCATCATCTCAGCCCAAAATCTCCTCAAGCTGATAGGCAACTTCAACAATGTCTCAGGATACAAAATCAATGTGCAGAAATCACAAGCATTCTTATACACCAATAACAGACAAACAGAGAGACAAATCATGAGTGAACTTCCATTCACAATTGCTTCAAAGAGAATAAAATACCTAGGAATCTATCTTACAAGGGACGTGGAGGACCTCTTCAAGGAGAACTACAAACCACTGCTCAATGAAATAAAAGAGGATACAAACAAATGGAAGAACATTCCATGCTCATGGGCAGGAAGAATCAATATCGTGAAAATAGCCATACTGCCCAAGGTAATTTACAGATTCAATGCCATCCCCATCAAGCTACCAATGACTTTCTTCACAGAATTGGAAAAAACTACTTTAAAGTTCATATGGAACCAAAAAAGAGTCTGCATCGCCAAGTCAATCCTAAGCCAAAAGAACAAAGCTGGAAGCATCATGTAATCTGACTTCAAACTATACTACAAGGCTACAGTAACCAAAACAGCACAGTACTGGTACCAAAACAGAGATATAGATCAGTGGAACAGAACAGAGCCCTCAGAAATAATGCTGCATATATACAACTATCTGATCTTTGACAAACCTGAGAAAAACAAGCAATGGGGAAAGGATTCCAGATTTAATAAATGGTGCTGGGAAAACTGGCTAGTCATATGTAGAAAGCTGAAACTGGATCCCTTCCTTACACCTTATACAAAAATCAATTCAAGATGGATTAAAGACTTAAACGTTAGACCTAAAACCACAAAAACCCTAGAAGAAAACCTAGGCATCACCATTCAGGACATAGGCATGGGCAAGGACTTCATGTCTAAAACACCAAAAGCAATGGCAACAAAAGCAAAAATTGACAAATGGGATCTAATTCAACTAAAAAGCTTCTGCACAGCAAAAGAAACTACCATCAGAATGAACAGGCAACCTACAGAATGGGAGAAAATTTTTGCAATCTACTCATCTGACAAAGGGCTAATATCCAGAATGTACAATGAACTCAAACAAATTTACAAGAAAAAAACAAACAACCCCAACAAAAAGTGGGTGAAGGATATGAACAGACTATTCTCAAAAGAAGACATTTATGCAGTCAAAATACCCATGAAAAAATGCTCACCATCACTGGCCATCAGAGAAATGCAAATCAAAACCACAATGAGATACCATCTCACACCAGTTAGAATGACGATCATTAAAAAGTCAGGAGACAGCAGGTGCTGGAGAGGATGTGGAGAAATAGGAACACTTTTACACTGTTGGTTGGAGTGTAAACTAGTTCAACCATTGTGGAAGTCAGTGTGGTGATTCCTTGGGGATCTAGAACTAGAAATACCATTTGACCCAGCCATCCCATTCCTGGGTATATACCCAAAGGATTATAAATCATGCTGCTATAAAGACACATGCACAAGTATGTTTATTGTGGCACTATTCACAATAGCAAAGACTTGGAACCAAGCCAAATGTCCAACAACAATAGACTGGATTAAGAAAATGTGGCACATATGCACCATGGAATACTATGCAGCCATAAAAAATGATGAGTTCATGTCCTTTGTAGGGACATGGTTAAACCTGGAAACCATCATTCTCAGCAAACTATTGCAAGGACAAAAAACCAAACACCTCATGTTCTCACTCATAGGTGGGAATTGAACAATAAGAACACATGGACATAGGAAGGGGAACATCACACACTGGAGCCTGTTGTGGGGTAGGGGGAGAGATAGCATCAGGAGATATACCCAATGTTAAATGATGAGTTAATGGGTGCAGTACACAAACATAGTATACATATGTAACTAACCTGCACATTGTGCACATGTACCCTAAAACTTAAAGTATAATAAAAAAAGAAAAGAAATTAAAGAAAGAATAAACTCTTTAGAAAGGTGGAAAAAAAAAATAAATGAAATCTGCTGTTATTGACTGTAGAGTTCTATACATGCTAATTAGATCATATTCGTTGATTGTATTGTTCAGATCCTCTATGTCCTTGCTGATTTTCTGTCTAGTAGTTCTATCAGTTAGTGAGAGGTGAGTGTCAAAATCCCCAACTCTAACTGTGGATTTTTCAATTTTTTCTTTCAGGTCTATCTTTTTGTTTTATATATATTATGGCTCTGTTATTTGGTGAGCACATATTTAGAATCATGTGTCTTCCTGATGGATTGATTCTTCTATTATTAAGTAATGTGCCTCTTTTTCTCATTCACTTTGTTAGATATTATTGTATACACTCCTTTTTGTAGAATTCGAAGTGAATTTCTTTTAAACAGCATATAGATGGGCTGTGTTTTATTATATAATCTGTCAATCTCTGTCTTTTGATTTGTGTATTTGGGCTATTTATATTTAAGGTAATTATTGATATATTAAAGCTTAAGTTGAAAAGCCAAAAAGAAAAGGAATAAAAAAGAATGAACTAACCTAGAGAAACATGGTATTATGTAAAAAGACCAACCTATGACTCATTTGTGTCTCTGAAAGAGAGGGAGAGGGAGCAAGCAGCTTGGAAAACATATTTGAGGATATTTTCTATGAAAATTTCCCCAACTTTGCTAATGAGGTCGACATTCAAATTCAGGAAATGCAGAGAAACTCTAAGATACTCTACAAGATGACCATCCCCAAGACATAGTCATCAGATTCTCTAAGAAAGAAAGAAAAAATACTTAAGACTGCTAAGTAGGAGGGGCAGAGAACCACATCAGGCTAATAGCTAACCTTTCAGCAGAAATCCTACAAGCCAGAATAAATTAGTGGCCAATATTCAGCATTCTTTAAAAAAGGAATTTCAACCAAGAATTTATTTTATTTTTGATACGGATTTTTCGCTCTTGTTGCTCAGGCTGGAGTGCAATGGCACAATCTTGGCTCCCTGTAACCTCTGCCACCCAGATTCAGGTGATTTTCCTGCCTCAGCCTCCCAAGTAGCTGGGATTACAGACATGTGCCACCACACCCAGCTAATTTTTTGTATTTAGTAGAGACAGGGTTTCACCATGTTTGTCAGGCTGGTCTCGAACTCCTGACCTCACGTATCTGCCCACCTCGGCCTTCCAAAGTGGTGCTGGGATTGCAGGCATGAGCCACCGTGCCTGGCCCCAGTCAAGAATTTTATATCCAGTCAAACTAAGCTTCATAAGTGAAAGATAAATAAAATCCTTTTCAGGCAAGCAAATGCTAAAAGAAGCAGATCTGACATACCAGAGGTCCTTAAGAGAGTGCTAACCATGGAAACAAAAGACTGTTACTGGCTACCACACAACACACTTAAGTGCATAGATCATCAACACTATAAAGCAAGTACAAAATCAAATGTGCATAAAAACCACCTAACAACATGATGACAGAACAAAATCCACACATCAATATTAACCTTGACCATAAACAGGCTAAATGCTCCACTTAAAAAGTAGAGTGGCATGTTGGATAAAGAAGCAAGACCCAGTAGCACTGTCTTCAAGATACCCATCTCATATGAACAGACATCTATAGGTTCAAAGTAAACGGATGGAGAAAAAAGCTACCAAGCAAATGGGAAATTAAAAAAGAGAAGGGATTGCTGTTTTTATTTCAGAAAAAAAAAAAGACTTTAAGTCACCAATGATCAAAAAAGACAAAGAAGGGCATTACATAGTGATAAAAGGCTCAATTCAACAAGAAGACTTAACTATCCTAAACATCTCTGCACCCAACCCTGGAGCAACCAGATTTAGAGACCTATGAAGTGGCTTGTTAACCACACAATAACAAGGCTAGACTTCAACCACCCACTGACAGTATTAAATGGATCATCAAGGCAGAAAAGTAACAAAGATATTAGGAATCTAAACTCAACACTGGACCAAATGAACCTAACAGACATTTAGGGAATACTTTATCCAACAACAACAGGATATACATTCTTCTCATCTGTACATTGCATGTATTCTAAATAGGCCACACGCTCAGCTGTAAAACAATTCTCAACAAATTTAAAAAAATACAAAATCATACCAAGCACACTCTTAGACCACAACACAATAAAAGTAAGAATTAATACTTAAAAAGATACCCCCAAATGATACAACGACATAGAAATTAAATAACCTGCTCCTAAATGACTTTTGAGTAAACAATGAAATTAAGGCAAACATCAAGAAAATTTTTGAAACTAATGAAAACAAAAACAAAACATACCAGAATCTCTGGGACACAACTAAAGCCGAGATAAGAGGAAAGTTTATATCAGTAAATACCCACATTGAAAAGTTAGAAAGATCTCAAATTAAAAACCTAACAGCACACTTAGAGGAAGTAGGAAGACAAGACCAAACCAACTCCAAAGCTAGCAGGAGAAAAGAAATAGCTAAAATTACATCTGAACTGAATTAAATTGAGATGCAAAAAAACTATGCAAAGGATTGATAAAATTAGAAGTTTGTTATTTGAAAGAAGAAATAAGATTGATAGACCACTAGCTAGACTAATAAAAAGAGAGAGAAGATCCCAACAAACACAATCAGAATAGACAAAGGTGACATTACAACTACCCCCACAGAAATTTATTATTACAGACACCTCTTTGCACACAAACTGGAAAATGTAGAAGAAAGGGATACATTACTGGAAACATGGAACTTCCCAAGATTGAACCAGGAAGAAACTGAACAGACCAATAATGAGTTCTGAAACTGAATGAATAATAAAAAACCTACCAACCAGAAAATCCCTGGACTAGATGGATTCATAGTTGAATTCTACCAGACTTAAAGAGAACTGTATTAATCCTACTGAAACTATTCCAAAACCTTGAAACTATTCCAAAACCCTTCCCTAACCCATTCTATTAGGCCACCGTCATTCTAATATCAAAACCTGGCAGGGATACAACAAAAAAGACAACTTCAGGCCAATAGCTCTGATGAACATAGATGCAAAAGTCCTCAATAAAATACTAGCACACTGAATTCAACAGCATTCAAAAAGCTAATCCACCATGATCAAGAGATCTTCTTTCCTGAGATGCGAGGTTGACTCACCATAGGCAAATCAATAAATGTGATTCATCACATAAATGGAACTAAAATAAAAAAACACATGATCATTTCAATAGAAATACAAAATTTTTCCATAAAATTTAACATCCCTTCATGTTAAAAACCCTCAATAAACTAGGCATTGAAGGAATATACCTCAAAATAAAAACAGCTATCTACTACAAACCCACAGCCAATATCATAGTGAATATCCAGAAGTTTGAATCATTTCCTTCTATGATAAAGACATATGGACTCATATGTTCATCATGGCACTATTCACAATAGCAAGTATATGGAATTAACCTAAGTGCCCATCGCTGTTGGACTGGAAAGAAAATATGGTGCATATACACCATGGAATACTACACAGCAATAAAAATGTACAGAATCATGTCCTTTATAACAGCATGGATGAAGTTGGAGCCCTTTATCCTATGCAAATTAACACAGGAACAGAAAACCAAATACCACATGTTCTGACTTAAGTGGGAACTAAACACTGAGTACACATGGACACAGAAAAGAGAACAGCAGACACCAGAGCCTACCTGAGGCTGGAGGGTGGGAGGAGGGTGAAAATAAAAAAAATCACCTATCAGGTACTATGCTTATTATCTAGTTGAAGAAGTAACCTGTTTATCAAACCCCCATGACACACAGTCTACCCAGGTAAAAAATCTGCACGTGTACGTGCCAAACCTAAAATAGAAGCTAGGAAGAAAAACTAACTAAGTAAAAATAAAAGAAATAAAAATTTGAAAAACAGAAGAGATATGTCATCTAAATTCAATGTGTGATCTGGATTAGACCCTAAATTGGAAATATATAAAAAGATTGCAAAAAAAAGACACTGTTAGGTAATTGAAAAAAATTCAATATGTACTATATATTAGTTAACATATATTATATATACATATATTATAACAAGTTTAAATTTCTTGAATGTGAATAATTTTACCGAGAAGACAAAACATTTTTGTTCTTGGAATACAAATGCTAAAGTATTAAAAGTTGAATTGCTGTAATGTCTAAAACTTATCCTAAAGTGGTTCAGAAAAAGTATTTTTTTGTATGTGCATATATACATACACTCATGTATTTATAGATAGAATATATATATTTAGAGAGTGTATAAATATATATATACTTAAAGAGTATATTATATATATATATACTTTACAGAGTGTACATATATATGTACTTAAAGAGAAGAGAAGCAAGAAAATAAACGTGATTCAATTGGAGAACTTGGTGAAGAATAATAGATGGGTGCTCAATATATTATTCATGCAGTACTGACTGGCTCTAAAGCCCATGATTGCCCTCTCTACTGTATCTGCTGCCTCCTTAAATGTCTGCCAAATAAAGTCCACTATTATGTTAGTCTTTTCACTTAATCTTTCAAGATGAGGAGAGATAAGAACAGGAATTACTTCATAGATTCAGAGTGTAGACTGGGCATGGTGGCTCATGCAGCACTTTGGTAGGCTACAGCAGGAGGACTGCTTGAGCCCAGGAGTTTGAGACCAGCGTGAGCAACATAGTGAGACCTTGTTTCTACAAAAAATAAAAAAATCAGCCAGGCATGGTGGCACATGCTTGTGTGCCCAGCTACTTAGGAGGCTGAGGTGGGAGGATGATCGCTTGAGACTGGGTGGTCGAGCCTGTAGTGAGCTGAGATTGCACCACTGCCCTTCAGCCTGAGCAACAGAGTGAGACCTTGTCACACACACACACACACACACAAAAGTAAAATATGGTACATAGATCCCCCCAAAAATCTATTATATGCATTCAGAACTAAAATCAGTGACGATGAATATTAAACACCCAACAGAAATACATTGGAGATTCTGTGTAGTATAAACCCAGAGAAGGGAGCTGCTACTATCCTTCAAGATTTGGTCTGGATCTTGAGGACTTGCTAGCTCTATAGAGATGAAGGAAAAAGGGTTCCCATAACAGCTTTCAATAAATGTACATTTGAGTTGGAACTTGTGGCATATTTTTTTGTGCTCTTTCTTTCCTTTTACCACTTTGTAAAAGGCCATCACATTACAGGAAGAAAGACGTTGAATCATTGTAGGGCATTGTTTCTACTATTTACTTATCTCCACAAATGTTTTATTTTCAAAGTGGAGTTTTGTACACATATATCTTATGTTGGTAATTAAGTATACGTTGTTAACATGTAAATAATAATTCTCCTTGAGTGGGTGGTGGTAGATTTCTGAGAAATCTTATAAGAACCACAGGACTTGAAAGCATATTTAATCAGTTATCTACATTCAATATTGTAAGTGAGATGAGTATATTAGCCACATTTTAAAGTATTTTTAGGTCAAAACAATTAAATTAATAGGAAAGAAATGCTATTTTTATTTTCTTCATTCATTTGTAGCTTTATATACTTCATTGAAATTATATAGATATTACAGTGGAACATATGTCTTTGAAATTTCTTAAAGAAAGCGATACATGGATTTCTCCAACTATGTGCTTTGAAAGATTTTTCAAAATTATGTGCTTTGAAACATACATATTACTTTCTCTCTATATATAGCTACCAGGATTATCACAACTGTCTTACTGGAAATAAAGTATTGTTTAAAACTGAGGCCATCTCAGAGGATCTATGAAACTCAGACTTCAGGCATTCCATATTTCTAAACTAAGAACACCTGGGCTTTCTGAGTGAATTTAGTTGAATCATGTTTGGTTTGCCTTAATAGGAGCTGAAAGTCATTCATAATCGGCTGATTACATAGCCAATCTTTGTTTCTTCCCCCATTATTGTTTACGGTGTAACACCCAGGGAAAGAAAATTCCTTTGGATAGAAAAGAGAGTCATGTGCACATATCAATGGAAGAATAGAAGGAAGATCACTAAGGACATATAACTGTTCTAAATAATTTACTTACATAAGGCCAAATCAAATGAAAATATATGTTATTGCAAGTGTATTCATCACTTTTTCTCTATGCTGTTAATTCAAAGTTTTCCAATGTAATAAAAAGATTTGATTTTCCATAAATATATTGCATTCGCTGGATTAGCCAGCACCTTCTATTTCCATTTGAGGTCATAACCAACCAAATGGAGCTTTGTAGATGATGTTTGAATTGCTGTGAATGCCAAAATTATTTGGAGTGTTCAGTTCACTTCCCAGAACAGGAGAAAAACAGGTTAATGTAACATTATTAATAGTAGTCAATCATTTTCAACCCAATGACCCCAAATTATGCTACTTTTGCTCTGTCTTTCCTCACTGTCTCCCTGCAGAAAACTCTCACTTTATCACAATAATGAAATTAAATGAGAGGGGGAAGGCTGGAACATTTCAAATTAGTCTTTCCATCAACCCTGGATCTTTTTACTGTGATAAAACTAAGAAATCTGACCCTCCTTCTATTATACCTCTAAAAATTTCATAATGGTAGAATTATTCTATCACATAAATCATTTGACAGAAAGATCATCAAGTATCTAGAGCCAATGGTTTCTAGATACTTAAGTATCTTTCTGAAGTTGAGGTGAGGTGAGGATATAATCTATCTGCTGGATCCCTCCCTTAACACATGTATGCCTGAATACTCTTTCTTTAATTTCTCCTAAATTTATCTTCCTTGATAGTTACTTTAAATATTTTCTATTAAGAGATTTTAAAATATTTTGGTATGTCAGGAAATTTTGCATCTTCGTGGTGACCAACATGGGTCTAGCAAATTTTTATCTTCATGATATTATTTATTTGTTCTTTCAATAAATATTTATTGAGGAATTACTCTGTGGTTAGCACCATCTTTTCCCTCTAGAAACTTGGAAACTAGCAAAAGAGACAAAGAAGAAACAACTTACTATGCATTAAGTGCTATGATAGAGGTAAGATAACACATGGAGTAGACATCCAATTTAGTTTTGAGGGGGTCAAGGAGGATTTCCTGGCACAGTTGATGTCTCAGAAAGTATCTGAAGGACAAGGCAAGTTTATCTAGCAAGAAGTGGGAAGAGTATTTCAAGTAAAGGGAACAATATGTGCTAGTTGAGCCAGTTAAATAAGAATGTGGTTTTTTAGCCTAGGCAATGAATCAACACCTCATTTCTTTTGTTTTTTCTACTTTTATTTTAAGTTCTGGGATACATGTGCAGGATGTGCAGGTTTGTTACATAAGTAAATGTGTGCCATGGTGGTTTGCTGCACAGATCAACCCATCACCTAGGTATTAAGCCCAACATCCATTAGCTATTCTTCCTGATGCTCTCCCTCCCTGACTCAACAAGGCTCAGTATGTTCTTCCCTCCCATGTGTCCACATGTTTTTGTTGTTCAGTTCCCTCTTATAAGTGAGAACATGCAGTGTTTGGTTTTCTGTTCTGCCTTTAGTTTGCTGAGGAAAATGGCTTCCACCTCCATCCATGTCCCTGCAAAGGATATGATCTCATTCCTTCTTATGGCTATATAATATCTCATAGTATACATGTGCCACGTTTTCTCTATGCAGTCTATAATTAATAGGCATTTTGGTTGATTCCCTGGCTTTGCTATTGTGAATAGTGCTGAAATGAACATACACAATCATGTACTTTTATAATAGGATAATTTATATTCTTTCAGGTATATACCCTGTAATGGGATTGCTGGGTCAAATGGTATTTCTGCCTCTAGGTCTTTGAGAAATGACCACACTATCTTCCACAATAATTGAATTTTTGAAATAATTTACACTCCCATTAACAGTGTAAAAACGTCCCTTTTTCTCCAAAACCTTGCCAGCAACTGCTGTTTCTTGACTTTTTAATAATCTCCATTCCGACTGTCAAGAGATGATATCTCATTGTGGATTTGATTTGCATTTCTCTGATGATCAGTGATGTTGAGATTTGTTTTATATGCTTTTTGGCTGCATGAATGTCTCCTTTTGAGAAGTGTCTGTTCATATCCTTTACCCACTTTTGAATGGGGTTGTATGGTATTTTTCTTGTAAATTTGTTTAAGCTCCTTGTAGACTCTGGATATTAGACCTTTGCCAGAAGGATAGACTGCAATGATTTTCTCCCATTCTGTAGGTTGTCTGTCAATGATTTTCTCCCATTCTGTAGGTTGTCTGTTTACACTGATAATTTATTTTGCTGTTCAGAAGCTCATTAGTTAAATTGGATCCCATTTGTCCATTTTTACTTTTGTCAAAATTCCTTTCATTATTTTCTTCCTTTAAATTTTTTTTATTATACTTTAAGTTCTAGGGTATATGTGCACAAAGTGCAGGTTTGTTACATATGTAAACATGTGCCATATTGGTGTGCTGCACCCATTAATTTGTCATTTACATTAGGTATATCTTGTAATGCTATCCATCCCCTCTCCCCCCACTGCACAACAGGCCCTGGTGGGTGATGTTCCCCTTCCTGTGTCCATGTGTTCTCATTGTTCAGTTCCCAACTATGAGTGAGAACATGTGGTGCTTGGTTTTTTGTCCTTGTGATAGTTTGCTGAGAATGATGGTTTCCAGCTTCATCCATGTCCCTAAAAGGACATGAACTCGCCATTTTTTTATGGCTGCATAGTATTCCATGGTGTATTTGTGCCACGTTTTCTTAATCCAGTCTATCATTGTTGGACATTTAGGTTGGTTCAAGTCTTTGCTATAGTGAATAGTGCCACAGTAAACATATGTGTGCATGTGTTTTTATAGCAGCATGGCTTATAATCCTTTGGGTATATACCCAGTAATGGGATGGCTGGGTCAAATGGTATTTCTAGTTCTAGATCCCCGAGGAATCACCACACTGACTTCCACAATGGTTGAACTAGTTTACAGTCCAACCAACAGTGTAAAAGTACCCCTATTTCTCCACATCCTCTCCAGCACCTGTTGTTTTCTGACTTTTTAATGAACGCCATTCTAACTGGTGTGAGATGGTATCTCATTGTGGTTTTGATTTGCATGTGGCCATTACATAATGGTAAAGGGATCAATTCAACAAGAAGAGCTAACTATACTAAATATATATACGCCCAATATAGGAGTGCCCAAATTCATAAAGCAAGTCCTTAGAGACCTACAAAGAGACTTAGACTCCCAAACAATAATCATGGGAGACGT
This sequence comes from Homo sapiens, assembly GCF_000001405.40. NCBI lineage: Eukaryota > Metazoa > Chordata > Mammalia > Primates > Hominidae > Homo > Homo sapiens. The sequence goes on along the minus strand of NC_000006.12, from coordinate 61,250,658 downwards.
TAACACCCCACTGTCAACATTCGGCAATCCATGAGACAGAAAGTAAAAAGGATATCCAGGATTTGAACTCAGCTCTGCACCAAGCAGTCCTAATAGACATCTACAGAACCCTCCACCCCAAATCAGCATAATATACATTCTTCTCAGCAACACATCACACTTATTCCAAAATTGACCAATAGTTGGAAGTAACGCACTCCTCAGCAAATGTAAAAGAATAGAAATTATAACAAACTGTCTCTCAGACCACAGAGCAATCAAACTAGAACTCAGGATTAAGAAACACTTAAAACCACTCAACTATATGGAAACTGAACAACCTGCTCCTGAATGACTACTGGGTACATAACAAAATGAAGGCAGAAATAACGATGTTCTTTGAAACCAATGAGAACAAAAACACAACATACCAGAATCTCTGGGACACATTTAAAGCAGTGTGTAGAGGGAAATTTATAGCACTAAATGCCCACAAGAGAAAGCAGGAAAGATCTAACATTGACACCCTAACATCACAATTAAAAGAACTAGAGAAGTAAGAGCAAACACATTCAAAAGCTAGCAGAAGGCAAGAAATAATTAAGATAAGAGCGGAACTGAACGAGATAGAGACACAAAAACACCCTTCAAAAAATCAATGAATCCAGGAGCTGATTTTTTGAAAAGATCAACAAAATTGATAGACCACTAGCAAGAAGAAAAGAGAGAAGAATCAAATAGATGCAATAAAAAATGATAAAGGGGATATCACCACCAATTCCACAGAAATACAAACTACCATCAGAGAATACTATAAACACCTCTACACAAATCAACTAGAAAATCCAGAAGAAACGGATAAATTCCTGGACACATACACCCTCCCAAGACTAAATCAGGAAGAAGTTGAATCTCTGAATAGACCAATAACAGGCTCTGAAATTGAGGCAATAATTAACAGCTTACCAACCAAAAAAAGTCCAGGAAGGACCAGATGGATTCACAGCTGAATTCTACCAGAGGTACAAGGAGGAGCTGGTACCATGCCTTCTGAAACTATTCCAATCATTAGAAAAAGAGGGAAATCCTCCCTAACTCATTTTATGAGGCCAGCATCATCCTGATACTGAAGCCTGGCAGAGACACACACACAAAAAAAAACAATTTTAGACCAATATCCCTGATGAACATCGATGCAAAAATCCTCAGTAAAATACTGGCAAACAGAATTCAGCAGCACATCAAAAAGCTTATCCACCATGATCAAGTAGGCTTCATTCCTGGGATGCAAGGCTGGTTCAACATATGCAAATCAATAAACGTAATCCAGCATATAAACAGAACCAAAGACAAACACCACATGATTATCTCAATAGATGCAGAAAAGGCCTTAGACAAAATTCAACAACACTTCATGCTAAAAACTTTCAATAAATTAGGTATTATTGGGATGTATCTCAAAATCATAAGAGCTATTTATGACAAACCCACCACCAGTATCATACTGAATGGGCAAAAACTGGAAGCATTCTCTTTGAAAATTGGCACAAGACAGGGATGCCCTCTCTCACCACTCCTATTCAACATAGTGTTGGAAGTTCTGGCCAGGACAATCAGGCAGGAGAAAGAAATAAAGGGTATTCAATTAGGAAAAGAGGAAGTCAAATTGTCCCTGTTTGCAGATGACTTAATTGTATATATAGAAAACCCCATCATCTCAGCCCAAAATCTCCTTAAGCTGATAAGCAACTTAAGCAGCAAAGTCTCAGGATACAAAATCAATGTGCAAAAATCACAAGCATTCTTATGCACCAATAATAGACAAACAGAGAGCCAAATCATGAGTGAACTCCCATTCACAATTGCTTCAAAGAGAATAAAATAACTAGGAATCCAACTTACAAGGGATGTGAAGACCTCTTCAAGGAGAACTGCAAACCACTGCTCAACAAAATAAAAGAGGATAGAAAGAACTGGAAGAATATTCCATGCTCATGGGTGGGAAGAATCAATATCGTGAAAATGGCCATACTGCCCAAGGTAATTTATAGATTCAATGTCATCCCCATCAAGCTACCAATGACTTTCTTCACAGAACTGGAAAAAACTACTTTAAAGTTCATATGGAACCAAAAAAGAGCCCGCATCACCAAGTCAATCCTAAGCCAAAAGAACAAAGCTGGAAGCGTCACGCTACCTGACTTCAAACTATACTACAAAGCTTCCAAAACAGCATGGTTCTGTTACCAAAAGAGAGACATAGACCAATGAAACAGAACAGAGCCCTCAGATATAATACCACACATGTACAACCATCTGATCTTTGACAAACCTGACAAAAACAAGAAATGGGGAAGATTCCCTGTTTAACAAATGGTGCAGGGAAAACTGGCTAGCCATATGTTGAAAGCTGAAACTGGATTCCATCATTACACCTTATAGAAAAGTTAATTCAAGATGAATTAAAGACTTAAATGTTAGACCTAAAACCATAAAAACCCTAGAATAAAACCTAGGCGATACCATTCAGGACATAGGCATGGGCAAGGACTTCATGTCTAAAACACCAAAAGCAATGGCAACAAAAGCCAAAATTGACAAATGGGATCTAATTAAACTAAAGAGCTTCCGCACAACAAAAGAAACTACCATCAGAGTGAATAGGCAACCTAGAGAATGGGAGAAAATTTTTGCAATCTACTCATCTGACAGAGGGCTAATATCCAGAATCTACAAAGAAGTCAAACAAATTTACAAGAAAAAAACAAACAACCCCATCAACAAGTGGGTGAAGGATATGAACAGACGCTTCTCAAAAGAAGACATTTATGCAGCCAACAGACACATGAAACAATGCTTTCACTATTTTCATCATGAAATCTTTGCCCATGCCTATGTCCTGAATGGTATTGCCTAGATTTTCCTCTAGAGGTTTTTATAGTTTTTGGTTTTACATTTAAGTCTTTAATCCATCTTGAGTTAATTTTTGTATAAAGTGTAAGAAAGGGATCAAATTTCAATTTTCTGCATATGGCTAACCAGTTCTCCCAGCAGCATTTATTAAATAAGGAATCCTTTCCCCATTGCTTGTATTTGTCATGTTTCTTGAAGATGAGATTGTTGGAGGTATGTCGTCTTACTTGTGAGTTCTCTAATTTTTCCATTGGTCTATGTGTCTGTTTTTGTACCAATACAATGCTGTTTTGCTTACTGTAGCCTTGTAGTATTGTTCGAAGTTGGGAAGCATGATGTTGCCTCCAGTTTGTTCTTTTTACTTAGGATTGTCTTAGCTCTATGGGTTGTTTTTCACTCCATATGAATTTTTGAAATAGCTTTTCTAATTCTGTGAAAAATGTCAATGTTAGTTTATTGGGAATATCATTGAATCTATACATTACTTTGGGCATCATGGCCATTTTCACAATATTGATTCTTTCTATCCATGAGCGTGGAATACTTTTTCATATGTTTCTGTCCTCTCTGATTTCCTTGAGCAGTGGTTTGTAGTTTTTCTTGAAGAGGTCCTTCACTTCCCTTGTTATCTGTGTTCCTAGGTGTTTTATTCTCTTGTAGCAATCGTGAATGTAGCAAATGAGTTCATTCATAATTTGGCTCTCTGCTTGCCTGTTCTTGGTGAATAGGAATACTAGAGATTTTTGCACATTGATTTTGTATCCTGAGACTTTGCTGAAGTTGTTTATCAGCTTAAGAAGCTTTGGGGCTGAAATGATAGAGTTTTCTAGATACATGATCATGTAATCTGCAAACAAAGATAATTTGACTCCCTCTCTTTCTATCTGAATATGCTTTATTTCTTTCTCTTGCCTGATTGCCCTGGCCAGCACTTCCAGTACTATGTTGAATAGGGGTGGTGAGAGAGAGCATCCTTGTCTTGTTCCAGTTTTCATGCAAATTCTGCTTTTATTGTGAGTTTCATGAAACCCCTTTTGAAGTTGGTGGAAACCATAAATAAATAAGACATGGGAATATCATCATAATGATGTTGTCTTTTATTTGCTCTTGTTCCAGTTATCACTTCAATATTATAGCGACATGTAAAAAAGAAAAATAAAGGGAATTTGTTTATGTAAGAGAATGTTATTTTCTCAGCAAATGATTCAATAAAGAGAAGTCTCCTAGCAGCATAACCTGGCAGAGGAGTTATTTGGCTCTCTAATGAACTGCTTCCCCTTGTTTGCAGCCACATTCCTTTTGGCATTGCCATTTCAAGGAAACCAGAGAACACTTCTTTACTAGACAAAAGGGGGCCATAAATGGAGGAATACTGGAAGCTTATCCAGTAAAAAAACCTGTGTAGCAGACTTTAACAACCACCAGTGATAGGGGATAATACTTTGGTAAGGAAATATGTGAAGTTGCCAAGAATAGTAACAGCTGGATGAACATCAATAGCTGATTGTTGTTTGAAAAACAGAGATGACTAGAATAAGATAGAAATTTCAGGCAAAATGAGTGACTCAGAAATTAAAATAATACATATGCATTTAAAAAAATAAGCTTAGGAATGCAGTAAGTGGGCAATTTAGCTGCATTGCCCAAGAGTGTTGAGACTGATAAATTGTAATACCACCCTTCCTGGCTTATGGTACTGAATAGCAGAGTCACAAAAATTATTATTTTCTCAACAATAAGTTGAAAATTGTTCAAAGATATAAGTGTATGTATATATAAAACACATCCAATGTAGTATTTTACATTATAGAGAAAGAACAACAATGAAATAAATAGGGTCCATTTTCTGAATGGTCACATATTTTGAAATGAATCAGAAATGGTGCTGGTGATAGATATCTTTATTTTGCTATCTCAGAAAAATAATATATGAGTTTTCCAGCAACATCATCAGGCTGATTATGGCAGTGACAAACTAGACTTGATTGAGATTTGAGTGCTTCAGATGGTATTTTACAAACACCACTTTTCCTGAAACAAATTGTCATTGGTGATAATTCTCTTGTGTCCTCTCATCTTTCAGTATGGAGGAGATATAGAAAACCAAAGCACAAATAATAGTTGAGGCAAGGTCAGCGTTTAAATCAGGATGTAAAGTTCAGGAGACTTCATATCCAATATCATTTTCTGCGTTGACATCAGGGGATGTCATCTTTCAGCTTATTGAGATTTGTTATCCTTTTGTTTATGCTGAAAACTCTTAGAATGCTGACACTGTTCCAACAGGCTGATGAAAAAACTTTTAAAAATATGCTATTGAAAATGCTGCTAAATATTTAAATATAACAATGTGTATTTCTGTTCCTCCCTTTATATGGTGAGCATATTAATAATATAGGTGGTGTCTTAAAAAATTTTTCTTTTGGCCGGGTGCAGTGGCTCACTCCTGTAATCCCAGCACTTTGGGAGGCCGAGGTGGGTGGATCACGAGGTCAGGAGATCGAGACCATCCTGGCTAACGCGGTGAAACCCCGTCTCTACTAAAAATACAAAAAAATTAGCCGGGCATGGTGGCGGGTCCCTGTAGTTGCAGCTACTCAGGAGGCTGAGGCAGGAGGATGGCATGAACCCAGCAGGCAGAGCTTGCAGTGAGCTGATATTTTGCCACTGCACTCCAGCCTGGGCAACGGAGCAAGACTCTGTCTCAAAAAAAAAAGTTTCTTTTTACCATTTATACTTGTCGTGGTACTAATTACTCAGTGAATATTTGATGAGATTGAAAACATATTGCAAAGCAGAAAAAATAATGTATATGCATAATTTCAGAGATTATTAGAACTGAAAAAGAGACTTAGAGATCATCTGGGGTGATAAAGCATAAAAGCATGGGATTTATAGCAGATTAAATTTGTAATAATGTCTCCATCACTTATTGACCACATGACTTTGGACTGTGTCTCAGTGTCCTTATTTATAAAATAATATTCTTCAAATCTACTATCTTAGAATGGGTGTCCCCAAAGGTAGAGTCTGAGGAAACAAGTTGGGTGCAGGTAGGTTATTTAGGACATGATCCCAGAACGCAGGAGTAGAAAAGCAGGGAAAATGAAACTGAGAAGGAGACAAAGCCTGTAATACCATAATACCATAAGGATTCATTATTGATTTCGCCACTTAGGTGACAGGATCCTATGTCTTTTTTTTTTTTTTTTTTTTTTTCTGAGACAGAGTTTCTCTCTTGTTGCCCAGGCCGGAGTGCAATGGCACGATCTCGGCTAACTGCAACCTCTGCCTCCCAGGTTCAATCCATTCTCCCGCCTTAGCCTCCCGAGTAGCTGCGATTACAGGCAGCTGCCACCACACCCAGCTAATTTTTGTATTTTTAGTAGAGACCGGGTTTTGCCATGTTGGCCAGGGTGGTCTCCAACTCCTGGCCTCAGGTGATCTGCCTGCCTCAGCCTCCCAAAGTGCTGGGATTACAGGCCTGAGCAGCCGCTCCCGGCCCTTTTTATCCCATTTTAAATCAACCTTAGAATAAGTGCTAAACATTTTATTTGTAATGATCTGAAATTTCTACATACAACCTTCTGAAGAAGGAACAATAAGAAGGGTAGTATTACCATAAGTTTGATCTTATAAAAGTGTGATTAGCTTATCATATTGCTATAATTATGAAGAAAATGTGTGTTTACATAATCTTTTGAAAATTCTTTTGCCATCTTTTGGACTTCTGGTAGCGCTCTCCCCAACAACTCACCTCCACTTTAGTGGTGGAGAAACATCGACACTTGGCAAAGAAAGACACTGTTATTTATTTGTTTTTGTTTTTATAGTGTGTCTTATAGTTTTGATTCTCAGATTTTTGTTTGCTTTTTGAAGTCCACTGCTTTTGCCTTTACTTATTGACTGCTTCCATTACGCTATTTCTGTATGTCTAATTTTTAAAAAACTTGTTTCAAAAGCTCTCCTCTATCCTACAGGCTGGTCCATAGGATTCCTATATACTCCTCCTCTTCTTACCCCCTACCCTGCTACCAACCTGCTTACCAAAAGTTCTTAGAGAACTCCTTCCAATCCCTTTCTGAGAATTCCATTTTTACTCTCTCTCTCTCTTAGAGGCAAACTATATAGCAGGCAGTTACCTCTTGGTTTCCGAACAGTGTATTCATATTCATTTGGCCCCACTCTCCAAATGGACTTGAATGCCAATTTAGTGATTGTATATAAAAGGGAATAAACTAAATGATCAGGGAAATAGAGAGCTTTAATATTGTAGTGATAACATATTATCAAACCAATTCCTATTCTTCCTGGACATGCAAAAACTACATTTCCCAGCTTCCCTCTCAGTTAGGTGTGGCCATGTGTCTGAGTTCTAGCCAATGGAAGCCAGTAGAAATAGCATATGTCAGACCTTCCTGGGCATAGTCCATAAAAACCTCCCTAATGATCCTCAGTGCTCATTTCCTATTTTTCAGTGAAATGCAAATACCTAGGAAGCCACTTTTTGATAGAAGAACCTGCAGCAACCTGGGTCACTAAGTTTCAATTGTGTGGAGCAGCAGACCCTTCCTACCATCCCCAACTGAACCCAGTCTAGTCTCTTACATAAATGAGCAATAAACTTGTATGGTTTTAAATCATCAAATATTGGAGTTTGTTTAATATAGCAGTTATTCCATTTTAACTAATACAGAAATCTTTCCTTGTAATTAAAGACATTTCATGAAGCATATTAATGTAGTCACTTGACTGTTACAATATTGTATGATGTATTTTAATAGCTATTTTCAAATAAAGGATTTGAATTAAGTAATGTCATCAAGGGTTTGGGGTCAATTTCAAGATATATTTATAGAATTTTAAAGATTAGAAATACATTGGTGTTGCCAGGGAGGCAGGAGGCTGAGTGAAACCAGTAAGCTAAGATTCAGGAGCCTACAGTATGTTAAGTATTCAGCCAGGCAGGAAACATAAAATATAAAGGCTGATCCGGGGCCAAAGATGGAGTATTTTCTTCTGTGTTTTGGAATTGCAAGAGTTTTCAACAATGTGGGAATGTGTAGCTGAAGGGAACATAGCATCCCTAGAGATGCAGCTCATTCCTGATTAAATTAGGTTAGAAGGCTACGCCTTCTGAGAGTTGCTTACACCAAACAGAAACTATCCTGACACATGCCACATTCCCAGCCACTAGATGATACTCAGCCATCTACAATTATACCCTTCCTAGGTACCTCAGAGGAATCACTGTAAAATCTCCTATAATGTGATGAGTGGCATTCAAAAGTTTTAAAAGTATAAAATATGGTTGTATTATTATTTTATTTCCTACAATGAAATCTGTAGGACCCCGTTCAGCTAGTCAGCAGGGAGTTGAATGTCCTGCTGCCTGCATAATCCAAGCATCCTTTTCCATTTATGGTTTTGCATCCTCTATTTGCAGTTGTCTCCTGCACTTACTTCCAGTTATGTGTAAACAATGCCAGGCGCTGTGGCTGACTGGGGTCCCCTGCAACAGTGTCAGATCTGTTTGTCTACCTTGTGTCAATACTACAATGTCTTAATTGATTTAATTTTGTAATAACCTTTATGTTTAGTAAAATATGACTACCTTCTTTGTTCTACTTCAAGAATTTCTATTTTTTCTTGATCTTTTACACTTCCATATAAATTTTAGAATAAGCTTGTAGTTGATTGGCATAGCATTTAATCTACAGAAATATTTGAGGAACATTTACTTATGTTCAATAGGTAGTTTTGCAGTCCATGAATGTATATTTCTCTACTTATGTACATCTTCTCTAATTTTTCTCAATAGCATGTTATAGTTTTCCATGCAGATTTTTTTAAATAACAACTTTCTTGACATATAATTCATGTACCTCAAAGTCCTACCCTTTAAAACATAGAAATCAGTGTTTTTTTTTTTAGCATATTCCGTATATTCATCTATTGACGCTATCCAAATTCAGAATGCTTCATCACTCTAGGAAGAATCTTCATACTCATTAGCAATCACTCCAAATTTTCCTTTGTGCTACCTCCTGGCAACAACTAACATACTTTCTGTTACTATGGATTTACATATTCTGAACATTTTCATATAACTTGAATCATACAATATGTGGTCTTTTGTGATCTGGCTCTTTCACTTAGCTTGATATTTTTAAAGTTCATCTCTGTTGTAGGATGTATCAGTTTTTCATTCATTTATATGGCCAAAAAAATCATTTGTGTAGATATACCATATTTTGTTTATCCATTCATCCTTTGATAAATAGTTGTTTCCACTTCTTGATCACTGTGAATAATGCTTCTATGAACATTTGTGTACAAGTTTTTTGCTGAGCATCTGTTTTTAGCTTTTTGGGGAATATATCTAGAAGTTTAGTTGTCTAGACATGGGTCATGTGACTTTCCGTTCCCCATAATTTCTACATTGTTTCTCTAATAGACCTGAAAGCCACAGTCCTTATTCCAGCTTGTGCATAGCAATGAAACATCAATGGGAATTTTCCCTCCAAACTGCATATATGCTTGTTTGATATTACACAATGCTATAACCAACTGCTCACAGGAGTTGGCTCTTAATACTATAATAAATAACTCTGAGTAATGAGCTTTAGTTTACTAGTCCGAACATTATTGTTTCATATATACTGCAAGCCATTTCCTCACTGAGTTCATAATTTTTTAATAAAAGATTTTATCAAGAGGCTTGTGGATGCTATATCTGTCTGTTGCAAGCAAAACACCAGTGTTTGCTAAAATTCTCCAAAAGATGCCTGTGTGTTTGATGATTCCCTGGTGTATTCAACTTGGTAGAAGTGGCCTTCTGAAGAAAATACAATGGTCTTGGAATCATATGTTCAAGACATCATTTGTGAACTTTATATAATTCCAAAGAGAAGACACTGAAGAATTGAGGTCTACACAGAGTGTTTTATTCTGCAAGAGAAAATCACCACAACTACCTATGTATTCATTTGTAATATGGTCTGTGTGTATATGAAGAACCACTTCTTCTCTGTAATATTTGAAAGATTTTTGCTGGATATAAAATTCTTGGTTGACTGTCTATTTTTTAAAGCACTTTAAATATGTTATACCACTGCCTTCTGGCCTCCGTTGTTTCTGATAAGTCAGCTATTAATTTTATCAAGTGTCCCTGGTAGTGATGAGTCACATTTTTCTTGCAGATTTCAATATTCTCTCTGTCTTTGGCTCTTGACACCTTGAATATCAAGGTGTGGATTGCTTTTAGTTTATTCCACTTGGAGTTTGTTGAGCTTCTTGGATGTGGAGATAAATGTTTTCAAAAAATTTGAAATCTTTTTCTTCTATGATTTTATATATATGTTATTAGATAGATAGACAGATTACATAATCTCCATGATTTCTCCAGTTATTCTTTCCATTTCTTTCACTCTCTCTCCTCTGCTTTGGAAACTGACATTATGCATATGTTTGTATACTTGATGGTGTCCCACAGGTCTCTGAGCCTGTGTTTATTTTTCTTCACATTTTTTTTCCATTCCTTAGACTGGATAATTTCAATCAACATTTGTTTAAATTCACTGGTTTTTCTGCCTGCTCAGATCTACTGTTGAGCCCCTTTAGTGAATTTTTAATATCAGTTAGTGTACTTTTCACTCTAAAATTCAATTTGGTCTTTGTTAAAAATAATTTTTGTCTCTTTGGTTATATTTTGTCTTTGGTAAGATGTTTTCATACTTTGTTTTAATTTTTTATACAGGGTTTTCGTTACTTCTTTGAAGATATTTGTAACAACTTATGACATTGTGTCCTTCTTAGTTGTCTCAGTGTGCTAGATTGTTTTAGTTGTCTAGAAATGCCAACATTTGGACTTCCTCAAAGACCATTTTTATTGCCTTCAATTTTTTTCTCTTGTGAATAGACCATACTTTTCTGTTTCTTTGTGTTTCAAAAACTGAACATTTTAAATAATATAATGTGCCAACTCTGGGGATCGGATTTTCCCTGGCCACCAATATGTCATTTTCTTTGCTGTTATTATTGTTGCCATTTGTTTAGTGACTTTCCTGGACTAATTATCTAAAGCTTGTATTATTTGTTGTGTGTGGACACTGAAGCCTCTGTTCAGTTAGTTAAGTGCCCCTTTAATGATCAGACATATTTTCTTAAATGACTTGAATGTATATATCTCCTAGATTTTGCTGAAGGGCTCTGCGTGTGTGTTGGGTATAATCTCAATGCTTGCACAGGGAGTTTATAACTCTTCCTTAGCCTTTAATTCCTGCTCACACAGAACCTCAAGGTCAACCATAGGTGAGAAATGAGGTCTTTTCAACTCTTTCCTGGGCTGGCTCCCAGCCCTGGACATGTAGAGTCCTGTGCATGACATTTTTTTAGAATTTTTAAAATAATTTTTAAAAAATTTTGTGGGTACATAGTAAGTGTATATATTTATGAGGTACATGAAATGTTTAGATAGAGGCATGAAAATGTGAAATAAGCACATCATGGAGAATGGGGTATTCATTCCCTGAAGCATGTATCCTTTGAGTTACAAAAACTCCAAATACATTCTTTAGGTTGTTTTAAAATATACAATTATTATTGATTATAGTCACTCTATTGTGCTATTGTACAGTGGGTCTTATTCATTCTTTCTATTTTTTTTTTTTTTGTAACCATTAACTTTACCCATCTCCCCTGCCAAGCCCTCACTACATTTCTTAGCCTCTGGTAACAATTCTTCTACTCTCTAGGTTCATGAGTTCAATTGTTTTGAGTTTGGGATCCCACAGTTGAGTATATGTGATGTTTGTCTTTTTGTGCCTGGCTTGTTTTACTTAACATAATGATATCCAGTTCAATCCATGTTGTTGTAAATGACTGGATCTCATTCATTTTTATGGCCGAACAGTGTGCTCCATTGTGTATGTGTATCCTATTTTCTTTATCTATTCATCTGTTAATGAACACTTAGGTTACTTTCAAATCTTAGCTATTGTAAAGAGTGCTGCAACAAACATAGAAGTGCAGATATCTCTTTGATATACTGATATTTTTTCTTTTGAGTATATATCCAGCAGTGGGACTACTGAATCATATGGTAGCTCAATTTTTGCTTTGTTGAGGAACCTCCAAACTGTTCTTTATACTGATTTTACTAATTTACATTCCCACCAACCATGTACAAGGATTCCCTTTTCTCTACACCATCACAAGTAATTGTTATTGCCTATCTTTGGGATATAAGCTATTTTAACTGGAATGAGATAATATCTCATTGTAGTTTTGATTTGCATTTCTCTGACGATCTGTGATGGTAATCACCTTTTCATATGCCTGTTTTCCATGTGTATGTCTTCTTTTGAAAAAATGTCTATTCAAACCTTTTGCCCATTTTTGATCAGATTATTAGATTTTTTACCTATAGAGTTGTTTGAGCTCCTTATATGTTCTTGTTATTAATCCCTTGTCAGAGGTGGTAGTTTGCAAATATTTTCTCCCATTTACTGAGTTGTCTCTTAACTTCATTGGTTGTACTCTTTGCTGTTCAGAAGCTTTTTAACTTGGTGTGATCCCATTTTTCCATGTTTGCTTTGGTTGCCTGTGCTTCTGGGGTATTGTTCAAGAAATCTTTGCCCAGACCAATGTCCTGGATATTTTCCCCAATATTTTCTTGTGGTAGTTTCATAGTTTGAGATCTTATATTTAAGTCTTTAATCCATTTTGATTTGCTATTTTTATATGGTATGAGATAGGCAAATAGTTTTATTCTTTTGTGATCCATGGATCTATGGTAATCCAGTTTTCCCAGCACAATTTATGGAAGAGAATATCTTTTCCCCAGTGTATTTTCTTGGCACCTTTGTCAAAAATGAATTCACTATAGGTGTGTGGATTTGTTTTTGGGTTCTGTATTCTGTTTTATTGGTCTATGTGTCTGTTTGTATGCCAGTACCATGCTGTTTTGGTTACTATAGCTCTGTAGTAGAATTTGAAGCCAGGGGAAAATGTGATTTTTCCAGTTTTGTTCTTTTGGCTTAGGATAGCTTTGGTGATTCTGGATCTTTACTGGGGAAACCAGCCCCCAGTATTTCAATGTATGTTCTTTTCTATTTTCCCTAAGTGTTGACTGGTCTGAGAAATAAAGAGAAAGAGTAAAAAAGAGAGAAATTTTACAGCTGAGCCTCTGGAGGTGACATCACAAGTCAGCAGGTTCCATGATGCCCCCTGAGCAGCAAAAACGGCACGTTTTTATTAGGGATTTCAAAAGGGGAAGATTGAATAGGGAGTGGGTCACAAGATTACATGCTTTAGGGGCAATAAGAGATCACAAGGACAGAAGGGCAGAGCAAGGTTACAAGGCCAGATGAAATTATAATTACTGATGATGTTCCATGTCCCGCTGTGCATGCATTGTCATTGATAAACATCTTAACAGGAGACAGGGTTCAAGAACAGAGAACCGATCTGACTAGAATTCACCAGGCTGAAATTTCCTAATCCTAGCAAGCCTGGGGGCACTGCAGGAGACCAGGGCATATTTTATCTCTTATCTTCAACTGCATAAGACAGGCACTCCCAGAGCAGCATCCATAAGCCTCCTCTGGGAATGAATTCTCTTCCCAGGGTTATTCCTCACTGGGAAAAGAATTCTGTGATTTTCTCCTATTCATTTTCTGCAGTAAGAAAAATATGACTCTGTTCTCCCCGGCCCCACAAGCAGTCAGACCTTGTGGTTATTTCCCTTGTTCCCTGAATATCGCTGTTATCCTGTTCTTTTTCAGGGTGCCCGGATTTCATATTGTTCAGACACACATGTTTTATAAACAATTTGTGCAGTTAACACAATCATCAAGTGTCCTGAGGCGACATACCTCCTCAGCTTACGAAGATGACGGGATTAAGAGATTCAAGTAAAGACAGGCATAGGAAATTATAAGAGTAATGTTTGGGGAAGTGATAAATGTCCATGAAATCTTCACTATTTATGCTCAGAGATTGCAGTAAAGACAGGTGTAAGAAATTATAAAAGTATTAATTTGGGGAACTAATAAATGTCCATGAAATCTTCACTATTTATGTTCTTCTGCCGTGGCTTCAGCCGGTCCCTCTGTTCCGGGTCCCTGACTTCCCGCAAGAGTCTTCTGTGGTTCCATATAAATTTCAGATTTTTCTTTTCTGTGAAGAGTGTCATTCGTATTTTGATAGGTATTGCATTTGATCTATAGAACACTTTGGGTAGTATGGACATTTTAACAGTATTGATTCCTCCAATCTATGGACATGGAATGTATTTCCAGTTTTTTGTGTCCCTTTTAATTTCTTCAGTGTTTTATGGTTTTTATTATAGAGATCTTTCACTTCTTTGATTAAGTTAATTTCTAGGTATTTAATTGTATTTGTGACTTTATCTATGGAATTACTTTTTGATTTGTTTTCCATTTTATTCACTATTGACATACAGAAATGCTACTGATTTTTGTATGTTGATTTTGTATCCATCAGCTTTACTGAATTTATCAGTTTTAATTGTTTTCTTGTGGACTCTAGGTTTTTCCAAATATAAGATCTTATCATCAGCAAATAAGGATTATTTGACTTCTTCCTTTCCAATTTGGAGGTCCTTTATATATTTCTCTTGTCTGATTGCTCTGGATAGGACTTCCAGTGCTATGTTGAATAACAGAGGTGACAGTGGGCATCCTTGTTGTGTTCCAGATCTTAGAGGAAGGGCTTTCAGTTTTTCACCATTCTGTGTGATACTAGCTGTGTGTCTGTCATATATGGCTTTTATTGTGTTGAGGTATTTTCCTTCTATACCCAGTTTTTTGGGGGTTTTTACAATGAAGAAATGTTGAATTTTATCAAATGCATTTCAGCATCAATTGAAATGATCATATGCTTTTTATACTTTATTCTATCGATATGATGTATCATATTGATTGACTTGTATACGTTGAACCATCCATCCACCCAGGGATAAATCCCACTTGGTCATAATGGATGATCTTTCTAATGTATTGTTCAATTTGGTTTGCTAGTATTTTGTTCAGGATTTCTGCATCAATATTCATCAGTGATATTGGTCCGTAGTTTTCTTTTTTTTTTTTAAATATGTCTTTATCTGGTTTTGGTATATCAAGGTAATATTGGCTTCACAGAATGAGTTTGCAAGTATTCTCTTCTCTATTTTTCTGAATAGTTTGAGTACAATTGGTAATAGTTGTTCTTTGAATGTTTGGTAAAATCTGGCAGTGAAGGCATCAGGTTCCGGGCTTTTCTTTACTGTAAGACTTTTTATTATGGCTTTGATCTTGTTACTTGTTATTGGCTTTCTCAAGTTTTGAATTTCTTCCTGGTTCAATTTTGGTAGGTTGTATGTATATAGGAATTTATCTATTTCTTCCAGACTTTCCAATTTATTGGCATATAGTTGTTCATAGTAACCATTAATGATCCTATGAATTTCTGCAGTTATCAGCTGTAATGCTTCCTTTTTTATTTCTGATTTTATTTATTTAGATCATCTCTCATTTTTTCTTAGTCTGGCTAAAAGTTTGTCAATTTTGTTTAGCTTTTCAGAAAAATGAACCTTTTTTATTGATCTTTTGTATTTTTTAATTTCTATTTCACTTATTTTGGCTCTGATCTTTATTATTTATTTTGTCCTGCTAATTTAGTGTTTGGATTACTTTTCCCTTTCTAGCTCTTTAAAATGCATCATTAGATTGTTTATTTGAAGTTTTTTCTCCTTTTTAATGTAGGCACTTATATCTATGAACTTCCCTCTTAGTACTGCTTTTGCTGTATCCCACAGGTGTTCCTATGTTCTGTCTCCATTATAATTTGTTTCAAGAATTTTTTCAATTTTCTTCTTAATTTCTTCACTGACCCACCAGTCATCCAGCAGCATGTTGTTTAATTTCCATGTATTCTTGTAATTTATTAAATTCCTCTTGTTATTAATTTCTAGTTTTATTCCATTGCAGTCAGAGAAGATGCTTGATATTATTTCAATTTTTTAAATTTTTAAAACTTGTTTTGTGATCTAACATATGGTCTGTCCTTGAGAATGATCCATGCACTGTGGAAAAGAATGTGTATTCTGTAGCTCTTGGATAATATGTTCTGTATCTACTACCTTCATTTTATCTATGGTGCAGATTAAGTCTGATGTTCCCTTGTTGATTTTCTGTCTGAAAGATCTGTCCAATGCTGGAAATGGGGTATTAAGGTCTCTAGCTAGTATTGTTTTGGAGCTTATCTCTCTCTAGCTCTAATAGTATTTCATTTATATGTCTGGGTGCTCCTGTTTTGGGTGCATATATATTTAAAATTGTTATATCCTCTTGCTGAATTGATCCCTCTATCATTATATAGTGACTTCCTTTGTTTCTTCTTATAGTTTTTGTTTTGAAATCTATATTGCTGATATAAGTGTAGTTACTCCTTCTCTTTTGTAGTTTCCATTGACATGGAATATCTTTTTCCATTCCTTTATTTCAGTCTTTGTGTGTCTTTATAGGTGAAGTGTGTTACTTGTAGGCAACAGATTGATGGGTCTTGTTTAGTTTATCCATTCCGTTGGTCTATATCTTTTGATTGGAAAGTTAGTCCATTTACATTCAATATTATTATTGATAAGTGAGGACTTACTCCTGCCATTTTATTATTTGTTTTCTGGTTTGTTGTGGTCTTCTCTTTCTTTCTTTTATTCCTGCCTTCCTGTCATGAAGATGATTTTCCCTGGTGTTATGATTTAGTTTCTTGCTTTTTATTTGTTGTTTAGCCCTTGTATGTTTTTTGGTTTGAGGTTACCATGAGGCTTGCAAATAGTATCTTATAACCCATTATTTTAACCTAATAATAACTTAACACTATTTGCTTAAACAAACACAAAAGCAAAAAGAAACTAATAAAAACTTCCCTTAACTTTGTCACCCTGCTTTTTAACTTTTTATAGTTTCTGTTTTTATCTAGTTGTACTGCATATACCTGGAAAAGTTGTTGCAGTTATTGTTTTTAATTGGTTAATTGTTTAATCTTTCTACTTAGGATAAGAGTAGTTTACACACCTCAGTTACAGTGTTATAATGGTCTGTGTTTTTTTGTATACTTACTACTTCCAGTATGTTTTGAACTTTCAGTAATTATTTATTCCTCATTAGTGATTTTCTTCTTTCTGATTGAAACACTGCCCTTAACATTTCTTCTAGGACAGGTTTGGTATTGATGAAACTTTTCAGATTTTGTCTCGGAAAGTCTTTCTTTCTTTCTCCTTATTGCTTGAAGGATATTTTTGCTAGATATACTTTTCTAAGATCAAAGTTATTTTTCTTTAACACTTTAAATATCTCTTGCCACTCTCTCCTGTCCTGTAAAATTTCCACTGAAAATTCTGCTGCCAGACAGATTGGAACTCCATTGTATGTTGTTTGTTTCTTTCCTCTTGCTGTTCTGGGGATTCGTCCTTCATCCTTGACCTTTGGGAGTTTAATTATTAAATGCCTTCAGGTAGTTTGTTTGGGTTAAATCTGCTTGGTGTTCTATCAATTTCTTAAACTTGGATATTGATATCTTTCAATATGTCAGTTGGGAAGGTTTGGGAAGTTCTCTGTTATTATCTTTTTGAATAAACTTTCTACCTCAATCTCTTTCTCTGCCTCATCTTTAAGCCAATAACTCTTAAATTTGCCTTTTTGAGGCTATTATATCTGATCCTGTACATGTGCTTTATTGTTTTTTATTTTTTTTTCTTTTGGCTCCTCTAATTTTTCTTTTGGCTCACTAATTATTTCTTCTGCTAGATCCATCCTATTAAAAGACTGACACATTCTTCAACATTCTAATTGCATTTTCCAGGTCCAGAATTTTTGCTTGATTTTTTAAAAATATCTCTGATAGAATTCTTAATTCCTTCTTGTGTTATCTTGAATTTCTTTGAGTTTTCTCAACACAGCTATTTTGAATTGTCTTTCTTAAAGGTCACATGTGTCTATTTCTCTAGGATTGGTCCCTGGTACCTTATTTAGTTCATTTGCTGAGGTCACGTTTTCCTGGATGGTGTTGATGTTAGTAGATGTTCTTTGGTGTCTAGGTACTGGAGAATTAGATATTTATCATAGCCTTCACTTTCTGGGCTTATTTGTAGTCATCCTTTTGGAGAAGGCTTTCCAAATATTTGAAAGGATGTGAATGTTGTGATCTAAGTTGTTTCTGCTTTAGGGGCCACCCCAAGCCTATTAATGCTATGGTTCTTGGACACTGTTAGAAATACCACCTTGATGAACTTGGACAGTTTCTGGGAGAATTCTCTGGATTACAATGCAGAGACTCTTGTTCTCCTCCCTTACTTTCTCCCAAATATATAGTCTCTGTCTCTGTTCTAAACCATCTAAAGCTGGAAGTGAATTTACACAAGTGCTCCTGTGTCTACCACCACTATGACTGCACTGGGTCAGAGCAGAAGCCTGCTGTGTCTTGCCCAAGACCTGCTGTTACCACTTCTTGGCTATTGACTATGTTTTCTCAAGGCCCTGGGGCTCTGCAATCAACAGGTGGCAAAGCCAGCCAGGCCTGTGTTTTTCCCTTCAAGGCAGTGAAGTCCCCCAGACTCTGGTGGGATCCAGAAGTGCCATTCCAGAGTTGGGTACTAGTCAAAAACTTCTGAAGTCTACGTGGTTTTCTACTGTATTGCAGCCAAGCTGGAACTCACATCACAAGATGCAGTCCTTCCCACCATTCCCTCTTCTTTCAAAAGGCAGTGGTGTCTCACCCTGTAGCCATTGCCACCTCTGGTTATAAGGAGTATTTCCAGACTATTACTGATGTTCTCTTATGGCCCAAGGTCTCTTAAGTCAGCTGGTGGTGAATGTTGTCTGGCCTGGGACTCACCCTTCAGAGCCGTGGGACCCCTCTGACCTATGGCAGGTCTAGAAATGCCATCCAAGAGTCAAGTCTTGGAATCAGGGACCCCAAGAGTCCACTTGGTGCTCTACTCACCTGTGGCAGTGTTGGTACCTAAGGTGCAAGACAAAGACCCTTTTACTTTTCCTCTGCTTTTCTCAAACAGAAGTAGTTTTGCCCTGTAGCCACCACAGCTTGTAATGTGCTGAATCTCACCTGAAGCCGGCAAGTCTCAGAGGCTCATCAAGGCCCTCAGTGTATACCTGGGTATCTCTGCTATTCAGCACCTAAAAACTCTTCAGTTAGCAGGTGATAAATGCTGGCAGGAATGGGTCCCATCCTTCAAGGTAGTGCTTCACTTCTGGCCCAGGGTGTGTCTAGAAACGTCATCTGGGAGCTCGGGTCTGGAACAAGGGCCTCACGAATCTGAACAGTGCCCTATGCTACTGTGGCTGAGCTGGTATCCTAGATGCAAGACAAAGTCCTCCCCACTCTTCCCTCTCCTCTCCTCAAGCAGAAGAAAGGGGTCTCTTTGAAGCCATGAGCTATGTAGCCTGGGGTTAGAGGAGGGGTGATGCCAGCGTTCCCTTGGCTGTCCTAGCTGGTATCTTAATATCTCACTATCCTCCCACATCCCTCCCGCCCCAGTCTAATGTCTCTAGGCCTAGTTCAGCCTTAGGACTTGCCTATGAGTTGCAGTTCTTATGGACTAAACTGCCTTTTAAGTTTACTTAAAGACAGAGCACTTTGGATTAGGTGGGAAGTTTGAGAGCACTCAAGTTCAGGCCACTGGGATCAGCAGTTTCCCTCGGGCTAGGGCTTATTTAAATGCTCCCTCTGTGGGCAGGCAGCAGTTGAGTTTGCTCTGGGTTTCCTTTCTACTCTAACAGGACAGCATTGAGTTCAATGCCTCACAATTTCTGTGTTCACCCTCCCCCAGCACCCAGAGATGCTGGCAGCAACATGCCACCACCGCCTTGGGTAGGGGAGGGGTGGCATCAGTGATTCAGGACTGTTTTTCTTAGCTCTTCCGTGCCCCTTTCAGTGATATGAAGTTAAAATTAGGTTCTGTGAGTGCTCACCTTATTTTTGGTTCTTATGAAGGTATTTTTTCTTTGTAGATAATTGTTAACTTGGTTTACAGGGTGGGGAGGACAATCTCTGGAGTTTTCTGTTCTATCTTGCTCCGCCTCTCTCATTGCTGCATTTTTGCATGAACTTCTAGATTTCCAGATATATGTTGGAATTTATCAAAGTCCCTTATGGACATATTATTTTCAAGTTTTCCTTTTGATTTTTTAATCAGCCAGTTGTTAACCCCAACTCATAATGCTAACTCAGTCAGTTGTGTTGTTCACAGTTGTTCTTGATTTTTTTTGACAAGTTCACGGGAGATAGCATTATTTTCACAGCTCTGAGTCAGGTCAAATAAATACAAACTCTGAAAATGGAGCTTACAGTGAATTGCCAAAAGGGTTAATAGAGTTAATTGTCTGGGCTGTGGCTTTTGAGGAGCTCCTAAATCTGTTCTTTTCCAGTGCCAATAAGGCTACTAGTTTTTACAGCTACTGTAGTTGCAAACCTGGTGATTTTCAAGGTTACTACAGAGTTGGGGAGATAAGAATATTAGACTTTTTCCCTTTTTTATTGGCCTTTCAGGAATTTTATTTCCAGGCAGTTTTTTGATGTTGTTATTGCTGATATTATTTTTGTTTATCCTAAGATTCATAAAGCTTATTGCTTGATGTCACTTGCCAATTTTGGAACATTATCGGCCATTCCCTCTTCAATGATTGCTTGTACCTCATTTCATTTATTTTTTTTTCCATTCATGGCTTCAAATAAATGTATATTATGCCTTTACTTTGTATCATGTCTCATATTTCTCTTATGCCCCCTCTTTACACTTTCCATTCTTTTCAATCTCTGTGTTTCAATCAGCATATCTTTTCTGATTTATCTTCTGGTTTATTAACTTCTCTTCAACTGTAACTCATTCATTGAATTCTTAATTTTGTCTGTTGTATTTTTCAGTTCTAAAATTTTCACTTTTAAAAAATAATTTTCACTTTTTCTTCAAAATTCTCAATTTTGTCTTTTAATTGCTTGGACATAGCAATCTTAATTTTTATAAAATTTGTTTCTGACATTTTCATTATTTGAATTTCCCATAATAAATACTACATATAGCTAAAGTTTTGGTCATATAATCTTATATCCTTGTAATTCTGCTTAATTTGAGTAAGTTCTAGGCATTATATGTGATAAATAATAGAGAAAAATTGAGGCTCTGGAAGATATATTCTTCCAGAGAAGATTTAGTTTGTTTTTCGCAGAAAACTAGGTTAGGGGCATTAATAATTTCAAATTACTTCAATTAACTCACTTATAGGTACAATTTAATTCTGGGCTTTCATTCATTCTTGTTAAGGTTGCTCCATTTCTGGTTTGCCCTTATTCTTAGTGTGTAGACCTTTATTAAAGTTTCCCATATAAACTTTTGTGTGTTTGCTAGGGAACCTCCTCTTTGGTGTTCTGTAAATTCCAATCCTTCTTCTCTCATACCTCTGAGCCTGACTGAGTTCAATTCAGTTTCTCATATATTAATAATACTGTCACCATTAGTGAACCATTCTAGGGAAAAAAAATAACCCAAATGCTTGATTCACTTCTCTGATAGTATCTCTTTTCCTTTCTGCCTGCATGGGTGTCAAATATTTTTAAGTAGATTTTGTTTGTTTGTTTGTTTTTTACTTTTCCCCACTGGTCTTTCTAGTTGTTTTAAAAGAGATTATTTTTTTCCTTTTCCTTTAATCGCTAGTTGCTAGAAAGAAAATATTCATATCAAATTTTAGACAAAACACTAACCTTTGAGGAAAATCTTGCTATCTTGCTTTTAAGTGCAGTCCATTACTATACCAAGTTGCACAGGAACATATTTACTTTACTCGTTTGTTGTAAGATCTTTCCACATGACATTTTGAGAATTATAAGAATGCATTTAAAGGTAGGAAGGAAGGAGATATACAGGAAAAAAAGAAGAAAGAAAAAAATTTAATTGGGACAATAATAATTTTCTGCTTGAAACTGGGCATCTGATAAGTGCCATATTTCTAAATTTTCTAAATGACATATTATTGTGAAATAAAACCTCAGTTGTTTTTATTTTATCTCTCCTTGGTATGGCATAAGTGCTAGGGAAAATCTGTCCAATAGAACTTTCTGTGATAATGGAATTTATCTATTCTGTGAGTTAATGTAGTAGCCATAGCCATATCTTGCCATTGAGCATGTAAAATGTGGCATGTGAATGAATAATTAAATTTTATCTAATTTTAATACATTTATGTTCAATTTAAATAGCCTTGGGTGAGTACTGATTATTACGTTAGACAGTGCAGCTTCAGTGGATTCAGTCTGCTTTTCTTCTTCCCTCAGTTTCTGCAATCCATTTGAGACTGAGTTTCTCTGGTGGCAACATCTACTTTCCCCTTGTTTAATTTTGACACAGGGCTTTCTCCATGATTCCAGAACATCATGTTTCATGTCAGACATACACACAATCACACTGTTTGGAGGCTCAGCCACTTCTGTAGTGCTGCATCAAGAGTTAAACGTTAATGGTTTTAACATTTAACATTTCATCAGGGTGATTTACTTCCACTCATTTAACATTAAATACCTTTAGCTTCCTCTATGCAAAAACAGTATCTTCTGAATCCATATTTTTATTTATTTATTTTTTAATAGGAAAAAAGGTTTATTTTTATTTTTAATTTTTTTATACTTTAAGTACTGGGGTACAAGTGCAGAATATGCAGGTTTGTTACATAGATATACACGTGCCATGGTGGTTTGCTGCACCCATCAACCCATCATTTACCTTAGGTGTTTCTCCTAATGCTATCTCTTCCCTAGCTCCCCACCACCCCCCCCCCGACAGGCCCCAGTGTGTGATGTTCCCCACCCTGTGTCCATGTGTTCTCATTGTTCAATTCCCACCTATGAGTGAGAACATGTGGTGTTTGGTTTTCTGATCTTGAATTAGTTTGCTGAGAATGATGGTTTCCAGCTTCATCCGTGTCCCTGCAAAGGACATGAACTCATCCTTTTTCATGGCTGCATAGTATTCCATGGTGTATATGTGCCACATTTTCTTAATCCAGTCTATCATTGATGGACATCTGGATTGGTTCCAAGTCTTTGCTATTGTGAATAGTGCCACAAT
Organism: Homo sapiens; assembly: GCF_000001405.40. Classification (NCBI taxonomy): domain Eukaryota; kingdom Metazoa; phylum Chordata; class Mammalia; order Primates; family Hominidae; genus Homo; species Homo sapiens. The sequence continues at coordinate 61,227,629 of NC_000006.12, read as the reverse complement.
AAACATACGTGTGCATGAGTCTCTATAGTAGAATGATTTATAATCCTTTGGGTATATACCTAGTAATGGGATAGCTGGGTCAAATGGTATTTCTGGTTCTAGATCCTTGAGGAATTGCCACACTGTCTTCCACAATGGTTGAACTAATATACACTCCCACCAACAGTGTAAAAGTGCTCCTTTTTCTCCACATCCTCTTCATTATCTGTTGTTTCCTGACTCTTTAATGATTGCCATTCTAACTGCCATCTCATTGTGGTTTTGATTTGCATTTCTCTAATGACCAGTGATGATAAGCATTTTTTCATATGTTTGTTGGCTGCATAAATGTCTTCTTTTGAGAAGTGTCTGTTCATATCCTTTGCCCACTTTTTGATGGGGTTGTTTTTTTTTTCTGTATCATTATATGATTTATTTTATTTTATTATTATTATACTTTAAGTTTTAGGGTACATGTGCACAACGTGCAGGTTAGTTACATATGTATACATGTGCCATGCTGGTGTGCTGCACCCATTAACTCATCATTTAGCATTAGATATGTCTCCTAATGCTATCCCTCCCCCCTCTTCACCCCACAACAGTCCCCAGAGTGTGATGTTCCCCTTCCTGTGTCCATGTGTTCTCATTGTTCAGTTCCCACCTATGAGTGAGAACATGCGGTGTTTGTTTTTTTGTCCTTGCAATAGTTTACTAAGAATGATGATTTCCAATTGGGGTAAGGGAAACCCAGATCACTAACACCCAAGGCCCTAGCTCCTCATTTTGAGGGAATAGGAATGGAAAAACCTATCACTTTTGTTTCCCATGCTGAGCTCACAATAGTGAAAAGAACACAATGAATTACTCAAACTATCTTGCTACACATAGCTTATTGTGACAAAAAAGGGAAAACTAGCAAATGAGGGAAAACATGTATATTCTACATTATATGTTCCTATTTATAAATGTTAGCAATGTTTTCACTACATTACCAAGCACATGGTAAATGAGAAACAAATGTTTAGAAATACTTTTTGCAGGAATGAATTTTGCATTTCTGGGAACCAAATGCAAGGTAATAACTGTGTAATAATTGGTGAGTTATTTTAGCACTCTAGAAACATTTCTATATAAGCAAATTTGAAACATAGGGAGATAGTAACATAAATGGTCATAAAGAGTCAATGATGACTGTCTTAAAATGTCCTTGTTTCCATGGCAATTTTAGAGTAATTATCTAATGTCCCAGTAAACATATAAATTCTGGTTAGTTACAGAATATTCTTATTATATGTGTGTCCTGATATAATAAAAACAATCTACCTTTTATATATATATATATATATTTATTATACTTAAAGTTCTAGGATACATGTGCACAAACGTGCAGGTTTGTTACATATGTATACATGTGCCATGTTGATGTGCTGCACCCATTAACTCGTCATTTACATTAGGTATATCTCCTAATGCTATCCCTTCCCCGTCACCCCAATCTACCCATTTTTTATGTTAGTAAATACATTCATGTGATTATTACAGCTTACCCTGAACATTTGGCTAAACAACTTTTGCAAATTAACCAAATAAAATTTATTTTATATGTTGTGTATGACTTACACATTTTAATTAGAAGCAAAAGGTAAACATTATCCACAGTAATTCTTGTTATTAAAATTATACTGTATTCATGGTGTAAAATATACTATGGAATAAGTAATATTATAATATTAGTTTCAATTGATTTATAGAAATGAGAAAAATCACAAAATTGACTTCACTACAAACATAAAAAATAATGTGGCTTCATCTTTAGCAACTGTTCAGGGCATAGATTAAGTTGAAATATGTGATTTCTTTGCTGTTACAGAGATGATGCTTGATAATATATATTTATCACTTCACTACTAGTTTGGAAATAAATATGACACAGTGAGAATAAAAAAATATATGAGGTACTGAAAATAATGTGACTTAAGGAATTTGGAAATCATCATGTGTTAAAATGCAAGGCTTTAAAAATATTCCATATGGGTCTTTATTATATACAGATGCATTTTTGCTACATATTAAATAGTAGACATACAGGGCAGAAGACATAAACTATTTTCTAATCCTGATTCTATATCTCACCAGAATGAGACCACAAAATTTTTTTGCTATCTCTTGTCACAGTTTATTTACTTATTAAATTGCAATAATTTCCAACCTGTTCACCTTATAACCATGAAGTGATGATTAAATGATAAAATTAGAATATAGGGAATTTATAAGACTTTTTGACCGTAGACGGTGAGCTACTGAATAGTCAAAGCACACCTGATTTCAAGGCACAAGGTAGGTATTCTAGTTAAGAGATGATTTGGGATAGTGTTTACATATAAGGGTATACTGATTATGACTGATTTTTGGGTTCAGAAAGTGTGTAAACCTACACAATTGTATAAAAGTTAAAAAGGCTACTTAGTATGAATATCCAGATGCTATATTTCAGAACATAATTCCTTCCCAAAAATATTATGAGTAATGCAACATGAAAAAATAAATATGCAGTAAAACAGCATGCTACAAGATGTTGTGAGAATGATCATAATGGGGATAAATGTGAGAAGTCTTTAGGCATCAGTTAAGAAGAGACTAGCCCGCATGCATATTATAGAAAACCCAAAATATCTGCTACACAAAAAGAGTTTCATTTCTCTCCCACAAACAAGAAGCTAAGGGCAGGCTGTCCTCAACTAGCATAGCAACTCCATAATCATTCAGAACCAAGATTCCTTCCATCTTTTACACTACTATCCTTAGTTAGTGACATTACTTCTCAAGGTTGCCACATGGTCCAACATACCCATAAGTCTCTGTTTCAGGGAAGCTGGGGAAGGACATTCAGAAATTCTTTGTACTATTATTTTGCAATGTTTTATAAACCCGAATTAATTTCAAAATGAAAACTTATACATTTTTAAAAAATATAAAGGAAAGAAGGGGTTCTTATGCAAAGAAAATGGAACCATTTTAATTTGACATATATTATTATAATGGGCAAAAGAATGTACTGAGTTTATAAAGTAATAAGGTTATATAGAAGAGTAGTTCTTAATTTTAATGTGATAGAGAGATCCATGAATAAATATATAATTCTATTTATCTTGCATTTAGTAGTTTGGGGGAGCAAAATATTTCATTGTTTTCATTAAAATTTCAGTAGAGAGTAGCAGAATAAATGGGTTAGTTTTAAATTTTGTACCTAAATACCCTCTTTTTAGCAATAAATTCTATTCTTAAATACGAGTCCAAACAAAATCCATGAGTTTATAATATTACATGAAAATGAGAAAACAAAAAGCAATATAAATAAAACACAAAATAAAACATAAAATCTCATTAGTCATAGAAAGTAAGTAGGACACAGCTCCTTATGAAAATTGGCTCTATGCAGGAAAATAGTTAAGCATTTATTCCTTTATTTACTTTTTCATTTACAATTTCCTTGTAGAGTAACAAAGTAGTTCATATTGATAAGAGAAAGATATTCTTTGTTGTTGTTGTTTCCTTATTTCCAGCGGGGTTAGAGGGAAAGCTATTCTTTACAGAAGATAGCATGCTAATAAATGTTGAAGAAATTATAGAATTATAAAATCATGACTTTGTGATTCTTAATAGTATAATAATTATCATGGCATAAAATGATTAAATAAAAAATTGATGGGTGATATGGTTTGGCTTTGTCCCCACCCAAAATCTCATCTTGAATTGTAATCCCCATAATCCCCCAAATCCCCACATATCATGGGAGAGACCAGGTAGATATAACTGAATCATGGGGCTGATCAAATGTCATGTTATTTCACCACCTATTTTGGAAACATTTCCAAAATATATAAATGTTCTCTCATATAACCCTAATGTCATTGTCACACACAATAAAATTAACAAAAATACCTTAGTAAGAATAACATGCAAGTTGTATTCAAATTTTTTGATTGCCTAAAAAATATGTTTCACAGTTAGTTTTGTGACATACAATCTATATCAGGTTAGTCTCACATTGCCATTTGGATATTGTACCAGTTAAGTTTCCAAGAAAGCAGTAAGATGATATTAAGAGTGCAAGAGATTTATTGGGAGAACGAAAAACAGAAAGCAAGATTGGAGATGGGGAAACTGTAACACCACCATATGCTACATTCTTCTTCACTCAATAGGGAGAGCGGAGAACAAAAAGCTGAGGACGACCTACAGGAACTCACATCTGGAGGCTGTCAGCTAGGCAAGAAGTGTTTTTTTAATGGAGGATCTGAGAGGTACATCTCTGTGTCTGCCACAGTTGTTTTGTTGAGTTTCTTTCGTTCTTCGTTCTACTGACTTATCGAAAGAACTGTGTTGAGGTTTCTGTAGAATAGCGTACATTCTGCATGTGTTTGTGGCATTCTTTAGTGTAAAAGCATTCCTATTTCTCCACATCTTCTCCAGCATCTGCTGTTGTTTCCTGACTTTTTAATGACCGCCATTGTAACTGGTGTGAGATGGTATCTCATTGTGGTTTTGATTTGCATTTCTCTAATGACCAGTGATGATGAGCTTTTCTTCATATGTTTGTTGGCTGCATAAATATCTTCTGAGAAGAGTCTGTTCATATCCTTCACCCATGTAGATTCTGGATATTAGCCCTTTGTCAGATGGATAGATTGCCAAAAATTTCTCCCATTCTGTAGGTTGCCTGTTCGTTCTGATGATAGTTTCTTTTGCTGTGCAGAAGCTCTTTAGTTTAATTAGATCCCATTTGTCAATTCTGGCTTTTGTTGCCATTGCTTTTGGTGTTTTATTCATGATGTCTTTGCCCATGCCTATGTCCCGAATGGTATTGCCTAGGTTTTTCTCTAGAGTTTTTATGGTTTTAGGTCTTACGTTTAAGTCTTTAATCCAGATTGAGTTAATTTTTGTATAAGGTGTAAGGAAAGGGCCCAGTTTCAGTTTTCTGCATATGGCTAGCTAGTTTTCCCAACACCATTTATTAAATAGGGAATCCTTTCCCTATTGCTTGTTTTTGTCAGGCTTGTCAAAGATCAGATGGTTGTAGGTGTGTGGCATTATTTCTGAGACCTCTGTTCTGTTCCGTTGGTCTATATATTTGTTTTGGTACCAGTACCGTGTTGTTTTAGTTACTGCAGCCTTGTAGTATAGTTTGAAGTCAGGTAGCATGATGCCTCCAGCTTTGTTCTTTTTGCTTAGGATTGTCTTGGCTACACAGGCTCTTTTTTGGTTCCATATGAAATTTAAAGTAGTTTTTTCTAATTCTTTGAAGAAAGTCAATGGTAGCTTGATGGGGATAGCATTGAATCTATAAATTTCTTTTGCAGTATGGCTATTCTTTAAAATATTTTAGCTGAGAATAAGGGATTGAAGAAACTGGTGGAGTAATAATCTTGATAATGTTGGTGATAAGATTATAGTCTTTGTGATATGGTGATTATAAAACACTAGGACTCATTTTTTAGGCATTTAATATATGACCTTGGATGAACTGACAATGAGGAAGCTTCAAGTACTTTTTGAGGGGAGGGCATGAAATGGAAAAATGAAATAGAAGATGGACAGTTTATAAAGACAGAAGAATGGATAGGATGCTGTTTGAAAATATGAAAAATAAGATTAGTATTCAATCACATCTCATTTTAAGATTCATGTTTTTAACTAATAATTTTAAAAGATGAACTGCTATAAGATAAAGTGCATTTTCCTTTAAATAAGATGATCTAGACCTTATTATTACTTCCAGTACTTGCAAATTATCTCTCTTAGAATAAATTATTTAAATATACTTAGCTTCAATTTCTAAAACTATAAAATGGGAACAATAATCTCCATTCTTATAGCTGATGATGTATATATCATAATAAATGGACAAAAATGCAAGACACAACATTGTATAGTAAATCACATTGCCATTTTTGGGAGCCTAAAATTTGAGCACTGACATCTCATGGATTTCAACCTATTATCTCAATGAGGTGAAAATATGTACAGGGCCTGGGCATTGTGGCTTACGCCTGTAATCCCAGCACTTTGAGAGGTTGAGGCAGGAGGACTGCTTGAGCCCAGGAGCTGAAGACCAGCCCTGGCAACATAGCAAGACCCAATCTGTACAAAAAATTAGCCAGGTATGGTGATGCACGACTGTTAAGTCCCAGCTACTTGAGAAGCTGATGTGGGAGGATCGCTTGAGCCCAGGAGATGGAGGTTTCAGTGAGCTGAGGTTGCACCACTGCACTGCAACCTGGGTGACAGTGAGACTGTCTCAAAAAAAAAAAAATTGAAAAATATAAGCACAGGAAGTAATAAAACAAAACAAACACAGAAAATGCACAAAAACATTGAATGTTTGTCTTCAAGAATTTTGGGTGGTTTTGTTTTCTTCATATTTTATTTCTTCCTATTTATTTCCTCATATCTTATTTTTTATTATATTTCTAGGCAGATAGAATGGACGTTAAATATTTTGGTAATAAGAAGAGAACTTTTAGAGAAAAAGATCTTGCTTTTTAAAATTTAAAGTAATCACATAAGATAATATAAAAATGTTTACTAAAATGTAAAGTACTATACATAATAATAGTTAACATTTGTTTAATGCTAATTATGTCTATGTGCTTTACATGTTTTACTTCAGTTAATCTCAAAAACCCTGTGATTTTGGAATAATATGTATGAAAGCTGAGTTACAGTGAGGTAAAGCACATTGTTCAAATTTACCTGGCTAAGGGCAGAGTTGGAATTATTTGAACCCAGACATTCTGGAGTCCAAACCTTTAGTTTTAATTATATAAATATAGCCTAGCATCCTACTATTAGGACACGGGAATGTGATAGTGGAATGATGTCTCTTTGAATTTCCATACATCATTTTAGGAACCACATTGTGATATTCTTCACCTCCTATTGAAATAAAATCAGCATTTAAACTGTATTTTTAAAGAGAAAAGAAAAGAAAATGCAAGCCAATGAAATTCCACTTCTTTCTAGGACTTCCTGAAACCTCCCACTTACTTCATTGGTTATGTGTCAAAACCTTATACCTTTCATGTACTCAACAAGCATGCATGGAGTAACCATATTCATGCTGTATATGCTGGAAGCTGTATTTTTCTATTTCTATATAATCACAATGATGTTCTATCCCCATCCTCTTCACTCTCTCACTGTGAGAAATGAGCAGAGCAATTAAGAAATGTCATGATTGATTGACATGAATTTCACCTTTTTTTCCTGCCTACTCTCAGGGGTGAGTGCTAATGAGCACTGGAATGCAGAGGGGCAAGTAAGCAAGATGAAGTACAGAAATGCAAGCTCGGTAATCAGCTCCTAAAAACTTGAGAATTGGCAGAATTTCTTGAGAACTTAATTACTGGAGTTATAGATGGCCAGTCATCTATATTTTATTTAATGCCATTTGTAGCATTTTCCTCCATTCTACTACTTGAGAAAACAGAAACAGAGAGGATATCTAGATTGTCTGAAGCCACAAGATGAAATTAGAATAAAGTTCAGGTATTTCTGACAATTATTTCTGTATGTAGAGTACAAAGTTCATTACTGTTATCCTTTTATTGCTCTCCTCTATATATACATTTTGCTATTTTTTCCTGAAAATGTTCAGTAAACCTGCATATCTGCTGATACATATAATAAAACTCATTTATAAAGCATAAGTTATACTATGGGTTAAGTAATATTTCTCCAAGAATCTATCTATCTATGTCTATAAGTATGTATCTATATATAAAATTTAGAGTGTATTAAAATCTGAAATGCTTATTCAAAGGCATATTTCAAAACTCCATCCTCGAAGATATCCTATAATCTGTAGATAGAAGAAGAGAGAGTGGAGCCTGGTTTAGAGGTAGTTCTGCATGATATGCAGGGACCACTTGAGAGTGGACAACTATTGTACTACAGACTCTTTGGGGGACATTCCTGAAGGACAGTGGTGAAGGGAAATCTTCCCAGTGGCCAGAATTTTAAGCAGTGCACCTGGTTGTACACTTTGCTTGGAAGGAGAAATAGCCAGATATGTGATTATATCCCAACTCATGGTCTGTAGTCAATGGTATGGCTGAATGGTGAGGGACTTGGAAAGAACATGATTGGAAAAGTGGTGACAAAGAAGTTTGGGAAAGAGATATGTGGACAAAATATCTCAGAATGGTCAAAAGATATGAAGATATTTGTGTGCCATGTGAATGTTCACCAAAGGGTGACCTCAGCAGAGGAAGACTTTAATAATCATCAAGTGAATTATTTGTTTCCCTTCTCTCAGAGATTAGTGACTTTGTTGCCTGTAAACTATTGCTTCATATATTTTGTCTATTTTTTAATGGTTTCAGGTATGAGGATACATCTGGTTCCCATTTTTCATTTTTTCTAGAAGCTTACTTTTTTCATTAAAAATCTTATTGAGCACTTTTATTTAACTGCTTTCCTGCTACTCATCCTACTTACATGTACACATCCTTCTGTAATCACTGCTCTGTAACCCACCCCAAATATTCTAACTTGTTAATCTAATAAGACCTTACCCTGTATCTGTCTACAAGATATATAGTAATTTAGTAGGGATGAGAAAATTATGTTTTAATTGATGTATTCACATTTTTTCTCTGTGAATAATTCAATACACAGTTGTAAACAAAAGATACACCATTTGGAAGCAACTTTGGAATAAAGATACTTCTAGTGATTATAACCCTTTTACAAAAATATGTTTATAGCATGTAGTGTACAAAAAATTGTATGTACATTTATATTTCTCTTGCTTGCAAACCACACACACCAAATATAAGAAAAGCACCTGCTGGACAATCAAGTCCTTCTCTTTAAAAGTCAAAAATCAGGTCATAAAATATCTTTTGATAACAAACATTAGCAACATTTTCTGTGGCCCTGAAAGTAGCAATACACTGCTCTCCCACCATAGATGTTTAAGAACCTCCAAGTTTAGTGACAGCCAGTGCTGGAGTCCATCACTTTTTATTAAGAGATCTCTCTTCATTTGGTTTACTTCTACGTTTTATTTAGCCAGTACTATCGGTATGTTAATAATTACAATAAACACTGAGCTGATGTTTTAAAGATTATATATGCATGGTTTATTTACTCCTCATAAGTGCCATTTTAAAGTTGAGAAAACTGACTCAGAGAGGATAAACGACTTACCTAAAGTCACACATACTGAATAAGAACTAAAATTTAAGTTTATTTCATTCTAAAGTGTTCATTTAGTACAGCTGTAAGAAGCTACCCTTAGTTGCTATAAGAAGTAATAATAAACAATTAACACTTATATGGTCATTAAACATCAGAGTTAATTTTAATGTTATCAGAGATATTAACTCATTTAATCCTTAAAACTATATTATGAAAACTAGATAGGTTCTATTATTATCCTTATTTTAGGGATTATAAAATGGAGGCACAGATAGATCACATACCTAATAGTTGGCAGAGCTCGGATCTGAACTCTGACACTCTGTTTTTGGAGTTCATGATCTTAACCTCTAATCCGTGCTGACCATGTGCTGCCACATCATCTGCTGATTTTGATTCTAGCCTAGTTTTCTCTCTCTCTCTTTTTTTTTTTTTTTTTTGGATTACCCTGCCACCCATAACTGGCCAAGGAAATAGAGTTTTCATATGTTTATAGCCTTTAAATCTTATCTCATGTTGTATTGACTTATTTGGGAAATGGCAGATGGCTGTAAGGTCATCTCAGTTAAGGTTACCTCGGACTCACTTTAGCTTTGTGTAGTTGGAGAAATCAGACTGTTCTTTCCTATATGTGCTTTCATCTGTTTAAGTTGACCTCAATTACTGCCAAAAGTTCCTGGGACATGTATTCCAAATGAAGCACCCACATGCCACATACAACACATACAGGTGTACCAACAAACCACAATGGGGTGTATTAATAAATGGTACAAATTATAAATGTGTATGAATGTGTTTGTGTGTGTGTATGTGTATGTGTGTGGTGTTGACCTATTTCCTCCTGTCAGATGGGTGTAGTACTTTCCATGATCATTATATTTATCTAGTTTTTCCTTGTCTCTCTCATTAGACACTAAGCATCTGAAGACAAGGAAATTTTAAACTAGTGCAACAATACAACTTAAAAACAATCTTAAATAAAATTTACTTCCTAAAGTCTAGGGAACTTTAATGTTTGTGGGACTATGACTTTGATCTATTTGCAAATAAATTTCTGACAACTCATTCTCCCCCATACACCACTCCCCTACTTCTGCCACAATTCTTTCCTGTAATATTCTCTTTGTCCATTATTTTATGTTCTCTTAGTGATGTATTTGGAGCTTATGGATGATCAACTATTGTAAGTTAGACATTCCATCTGTGTCATAAGTCTTTCAACCTAAAAATGCTATTGAAATCCAGAAATTATTCCTAAAATCCAGTTTAAAAAGTAAAGTCAATAGAGAATGATCCAAACACTCATGGTGGGGGGAGGGGGTCCAATTAATTCTCAGCCTTAAGACATGTATTTTGAATCATTCATAAATTCTTTACAACAAAAAGATTGCACTTAACCAGCTTCTATTAACAAGTGTGAATAGATAGAGAGTGGGAGTTTGGAATTCCAGAGTTGAAAGGGAATTTGAGACCTCTCTTAACTCCTTCCCTCCAGCCAGAAACTAATTCTTACTAGATAGGTGGGCATATGTCTTATTTTCTGAGTATACACAACTCTTGCAACACTTACTAATGTTTACTAAATATTCAGCTACAACCTTTACAGTGGAGAAAGCTGGCAAACACTACCACAGCCAGAAAACCAAAGGCCACATCGATGGTGGTAAGTCTTGTTGATTACATGTATCCTTGCCTTGATATGATGTATTGAGAAGGCACTTTACATGTGTGGTCTTCCTCCCCATAACCCACAGTCCTAAGAGAAAAACATCAGACAAACACCAGTTGAGAAACATTTTACAAAATACCTAGAATTTTGGGACCAGTAGTCTCCAAAACTGTCAAGGGCATCAAAAACAAGAAAGTCTGAGAAACTGTCACAGCCCAGTCAAGTCTAAGGAGACATGACAACTAAATGTAATGTGTTGCTCCAAATGGGATTCTGGAACAGAAAATGGTCGTTAGGGAGAAAGTACAAAAATCTGAATGAAGTCTAGATTTTAGTTAATAATAATGTAGCAATATTGGTTCATTGGTTGTGATAAGTGTACCATACTAATACAAGATGTTAATAATAGTAAAAACCGAATACAGTGTATGTGAGAACTCACTGTACTGTCCTTGTAACTTTTCTGTAAAAAAAGATTTTTTAATTAAAAATTTATTTAGACATGAAAAAATCATGCACCTACAGAAATGTTCTTTTTCATTTAGATACAAGAATACCTTGCTGTAAGCAAAGGTGCATGGTTGTCCTGTTTTACTCCAATGACCAAAGCTGTTACATAATTCCTGATTATGATAAATGTTAGTATTGGGGTTGGTTATCTGTATGGATATTTGAAAATCCAGAGGATTTAATCAGCAGTTCAGCCTCTTAAAACTAAACCAATGGCTTCTTATCCTTTGACAATTTCTGTTAAATTGAGAGTCCCGTTATAATGAAAAATGTCTTGTTCATGCTCAATTTATTTCAGAGAGAGTTAACAATAGGAAGGATAACTGTTTCCAAAAAATTTTAGGAAACAATGTTGCTATGGTCATTTAACATAGGCCAGGAATCCTGACACGTCTTGAAGTGGTGTCCTAAAAATAGCACACTAATTTTTTGTATAAGCAGAGCCATGGTTGTATTTTATCTTATATTCTAAACTCCCTCTTTAAGAATCTTGCCATTATATTTTTAAAGTCTTATATAGAAGAAATATTTCCAACTTTGATCATGTCTTATTCCAAGAACACATATAGTTTATGCCAGCCTGGGTCATCATTCTTTCTCTGAACAAATAATGTAAAGATAATAATAGTTACATTATATGTCTCTATAACTATATTACTTAATTTTTTGGATTGTTTTTAAATTTTTAACTCAAACAAATAATATAGAAACACTTTCAATGCTTTGTATAAAATATTCTGTGACTCAGAAGTACATAAATCCATTTATTTGACCTTCACAATGAGGTGGAGTTGATATAGTAAGGTTAATGAGGCAATTATTCTTATACAGAACATCAGCCATAAAGGCACAATTTCTTCCTCCCTTTAATTAAAATAATTCTTTCTTTGCTATTTGCATTGATAAGCAATCAATGAGGTGAGGAATAATTAACATTCTAATGATCTCCTAAGCAATTTCAGGCCTTAAGTTTCATGGTATAAAACTTTTTGTGGAATAATATGTACTTTCAGACATTCCTTGTTTTGTGTGTGTGTGTGTGTGTGTGTGTGTGTCTTTCTTTCTATTTATTACAGAGGCAGAAACATGAGGTGATTCTGTGACTATCAGTTATTTGGGGAGAACTTAAACTGAAAGTGTTTCTAGAATCAGACCTTGACTACTACCCCAAGTGCAACTCTCTTGGTTAGCCATTACATTTGATCAGAAACTAATAGTTAAAAATTATTTAGTGAGTTTTCCTTTAGGTTGGTCTATAGAATCTATTTTAGGACACAGTAAAAATTACTTTTTATTTGTAAAATACTTACCATACACAAATTTTAATTTTTTTTACTCACATAAAATAAATCTAACATAAGAACCAATAATTCTGATCTATGAGTACATAAAATTATTTTATTTAAAAATATAAAAATAAAAAAAGAAGCTACTTAATGAGGTTTTTTTTGAGTTTTTGTTTTGTTTTGTTTTGTTTTTTAGACAGAGCCTCACTTTGTTGCCCAGGCAAACAGTGCAGTGGAGTGCAGTGGTGTGATCTTGGCTCACTGCAACCTCCACCTCCCAGGTTTAAGCAATTTTTCTGCCTCAACTGCCTGAGTAGCTGGGATTACAAGTGTGCACCACCACGCCTGGCTAATTTTTGTATTTTTAGTTTCACTACATTGGCCAGGCTGGTCTTGAACGTCTGATCTCAAGTGATCCACCTGCCCCAGCCTCCCAAACTGTTGGGATTACAGGCGTGAGCCACCATGCCCAGCCTTGAATGTTGAATTAAATATTACTTGGCTCATGCGCAGTAACTTGCCATGCTATATGTAAATTAAATTTAATTACAGTTTAAATATACTTACCTGTTTTGTAGCTATTTTTAGAAATAGATACTTATACACACATATTGAAGAGAAAATATAGTTGCATGTTGTAAAACTAAAAATGTGTTTGCTTCTAACTAACAAGAATGGAATAATTTTTCTCAGGTTGACTTTTTTTCATGTGAAAGGTAAAGAAAAACTAGGGACCCCAATTCACTATGCCAAAAAAAAAAAATAATAATAAGATGAAAGCTGAGTCATGCGAGAAGCTGCCTTTCCTTTTGTTCCTAAGCAGATAGCTACAGATAAAAGGTTAAATATCTCCACAGGTAGCTGCTCTATGTTCATCTTATCTTATACAAAGTACAGATTTACTGAGCACAACATGAATACATAACTGACTATTCTTCCTGTTCTGTTTCCCTTGTAACATGTGGATTATGATACCCTCCTTCTTTCCTCTTCACCCATTTTTCCCTTTAAATATTGAAGCCCTCATAATCAATTTTGGAAAAAGGCACAGATCACAGACTTTCTGTGATTCCATGATATGTTCTCTTCTGGGGATGTCCTTAACCTTGGAAAAATAAACTTCTAAATTTATTGAGACTTTCTCAGATACCTTTTGGTTTTCTAATTGGTGACCAATGGAAGGAACTCTGAGTGGAGGTGGCCCTGACCTTTGACACGTCTCCTATGGGAGCTTGGTACCATCCTGGGCTATCTTTATGGCTCAAACCAATAAGACAATTTGCTGAGGCCTGGGAGCATTCCCCTCCAGAGAATCCCTAATCTGCTAAAATCTGGTTGAGATCTAAGGTTTACTTTGCTGTAGAACTCCTTTTCTGGCCGACTTCCACCACTGAAGGCAGGTTTTCCTGCTTCTATGATGATGAGGGCAGACAACTTCTTTCTGGAGTTTCAGCTCACTTCCAACAGGATAGGCAAGTTTGAGTTTTCTGATGCTTCTAAGGTGGTAGAGAGCAGTATTAAGCCTGGGCCCCATTCCTAGGTAAGTTGCTAAATTGGGGTTTTGTCTTAAAAATCGTCCTTAATGACTAAAAGTTAAGATTAACAACGAGCTGACATTAATTTCTCTTTACCATTAGAGTGCTTAGTAATTGTGTTGTTTGTTTTTTGTTGTTGTTGTTGTTTTGGTTTTTCTCCCATCAGATTTGACCCACTCTACCCAGCTTTGCCAAATACAAATGAGAATTCAAAATTATGAGGAACAAGGCCTCTGAACTAACTAAAATTCCCCACTGTTTCAAAAAGAAAGACAAAACCACACACTTGATTTCTCTGTTCACTTTCTTTCTTAAAAATTGTTCTTTCGTTTATTTCTTTCAACCACCCTATTTCTCCTCTCCTTTTGCCATCTTCAGTACTGAGGAAAAAAAAAAAACCCTAGAGAAGACATCTAATGACTCAGACCCCTTAAACAACTCAGAATAAATGTACCACTCATCTCTTGTGGAGATGTTCTGCTTTCTTTGTGGAGTTTCAAGAGTCATGGGTAGAGTCTTCTCAGGTCTACAGCTCTGTTTTCTTGCATTGTATTACTTGATTTATTTGGCTTTTGGTGATACCAAAGAATACTTTGTACTATGAGAGCATCTGATCTTGGTGTGTGTAATGGTGGATGAGAGCTACAACGTTAGGGAGTGACTGCAAAGAGTTTACAGGAAATGGTCATTACTACAGGGACCTACTTGTTTATTTGCACATTTGAATAAGAAAGTCATGGTTTAATCCCTAAAAACTGCATGCTTTCTTGGCCCTGTTCCTTAAAAGACTCCACCCTAAAGCCAGTAATCTAATGAAGCCAAATTAAAAGGATCACCTGTCAAAATCAATCACTTTAATTAAATACTTCGTAAAGGAAATTTACAACTTTAAAGAAATCACATTTTTTAAGGGCATCTCTGTCTCTCCCGAAAACCACTAGGACCTTTAGGGGAAAGACTATAGCTTAAAGTTTACATAACAGACCTTGACTTTGCTTAGATCAATCTGTCTGTGCCATTGAGATGTACATTTTCTACCTTGTTTCACCTAAGTCATGCCTTTGGAGATGCAAATTGACAGTTGCCTAGTTAACAATTGTTTAGGACATGGAACATATAATCAAGAGATTAATAGTCTAAAGTAAGGCAAGTAAAAAAACAGGCAAGTACAAAATTATAAATCTAAAATATATGCTTCTCTCTAGGTCTGTCATGTCTATATGTTTATATGTGCCATCTGGAGGTGATACTTTACTACCAAATTATATGAAACAACTCTAAAAAATTTGCTTAAAAAAGTAAGAATTTATCAAACTAATAGAAACTAGCTTAAAGGCTTTTAAGTTCAGATGACTTTTGCAGTCTTTGGTAAGATTAATTTGATAAATTTAGTCTCAAAATTATCTCCAGTAATTTAAAATCTTAAAGCCATGTTATGTTAAATAAAATAATTCTAGGCCCTCAACTAAGAATTAGGGTTACTAAGAATTAGAATAGCAGGAGAATAAGATATGTTTTGGATGAAGATTAAAAAAAAATGAGGTTATGGCTTTTTCCTAAGAAAATGTATTTTTTTAGTTTAGAGGACTTTTCTACTTCTGTTGAAATAAAACCCACAGTTTGCATCCAACCTTTTTTTGTATACTAGTGAGTTTTGATATCTCATGGCTAAAGTTCCAAAAGAAAAGCTGTGGGATCTTTGTTTGTATAAGGGTGTATGCATGCTTATGTGTTTATGTGTATGTATTTGTGTTTGGTTGTGTGTTGTGTGTTGTGGCCACAAGGTACCAAATTGGCTTAAAACTAAAGGAGTATTCATAAAGTTAAGTAAATAAGCCCAGATGCTTTTCAAGTTCATATGACTTAAATAAATCTTTTTAAAAAAGCTTGCTTAATATGTTGGTAAAATAAAATTAGAGATGTTTTCAGATTTGTCAGCATGCTTTATTGTTTAGATGTATTGATCAAATGGTTTTATAATTAAAATGTCTGCAAGATATTATAAGGTGTCAAAATTTAAAATTTTGCATAAACCCAGCCCAAAACAGAATGATCTTACTGTAAATTTTTGATAAATGTGTTATCTAATATTGTTGGTTTAATGAAAACAATTAAATCCTGAGTTATTGGAGGAAAAAACAACCAAAATATTTATTTAACCTTAAAATTCTTACTCAGGAAAACACCTGAAATTTGCAGGTTACAAAAATTAATATGGAAATAACTAAATAATGAATATCACAGTTTTCTTAAGTAATCTAAATAAACTATTAAAATTAATTAAGTAAATATAAGGAAATAAATGCTTATAAAAAACTTGTCATATAATTTAGAATCTAAAGGTATACTAAATTAAATAATATATACCAACTAAATATCTTGGTCATTTCCAATTTAAAAAAAATATATTATAGGAAAACAATCTTCTAAAAAACTTTTACTAAAAGGAATTAATTTTTATCATATTTAAAGGCTTTTTAAGAAACAAGGTAAAAAGAGCCAGTAAATAACAGAGATGTAAAGAAAGTTCTAGACATAAAGAGGTATTTTTGGTAAGAAAGGTTAAAAGGAAAATAATTCTCTATGAGAAAGAATCGTGTATGGTAACTTCTTTGTCACAAAATAAAATGACTATTTAAGAAAGAGGGATGGTTATAATAAAACAGAAAGTCCAAGCATGTCATAAATGGTTTACATAAGTCACAATGAAGTTTGTAAAAAGAGAATTTATGGAAAAAACTGCATTTGATCAAGTTGGCTATAATTAAGAGGAAATTATAGTCTTTCAAGAGATTGGGTTTTGATATTTAAAATATTTTAATACTCTAAAAAATTGGCTAGAACAACAAAATTTTCTGAAAATATTGACTTACTCTTAATAAAATTACAAGAGATTTTAATTTTGTAAATCAAAAGTTTAACTCCTATTACATCATGTTATTTTCAGGTTTCTCTCCCCTTTGAGGAGATCTGAGATAATAATTCTCTGTTTCAACTTTTTTGTCAGCTCCTGTAATTTTTTTTCCCTCAGGTTCTAACTGCTGTTGTGGCCTGATGATAAAAATGTTTTATCTTAAAGGTCTAGAGGGAATGTTTTCTTCCAATATAACATTCTGTGCTCTTGGCTTTTCTTAATATGTCTAAAATGTTCTATGAAAACATACGTGAAAATCTTCACTTATGACCCAGGGCACATTCTCCCTATATATAATTAATTAAGTACCCTATTCATTTTTGACTTGCAGGTTATGTAAATAGAATCCTTATGGAGGGAAAGCAATCACAATGTAGGAAGTCTTTTTTTTTTTTTTTTTTTTTTTTTTTTTTTTTTGCCTTTTGGTAATGGCCTAACAACTGGATTTTACATTTAATCAGAATAGTTTCTATTTCATTATTATTAAGTTTTTCATTTGCTTAGGAAAACAGATTTTAAAATTTTTAAAAATTAAAGTTATAACATCCATGTAAGTTTTTGTATTGCTTTTAAAGTCTTTGTGCTGTTAAGTTACAGGGCCTTGACTCCTGTATCTAAAAATCCAAGTCCTGCTAAATCTGAACGTGTGACAGTAGTTAAAGCCTCATCTTCAGATCCGGGAGAAGATGACAATCAAAACAAAATGCATTACTGAGACATGGGGCCAGAATTAAAGCTATTAAACCCCTCTATGCCTAGGGACTACTGAGGAAGAGGTGTGCACATGAGGCTGTAAGGGCCAATTTTAAAAGATAAAATTAGTTCAGAATTTCTTTGTAAATTAAACATTAATATCAAAGGCGCACTGATGCATGACCAGTATCTGGGCCCCTAGGTCAAGTTAACAAGGTTTTTCTGAAGCATTAAACTACTTTTAAATTAAAATATTATGCAAAGTTACAAAAAGTTTTGTGAAAGTTATATCTTATGGTCAAGATGATTAAAATTTAGTTGATTTGCTTATAAATGTTGAGAGACAGATTTAAGTCATCTTATGCTGTCTTTACTAGGGCTTATTGTTTAGGAAATTAAGTCTCTTCCCTCAAAGAATAAAGGTTTTTTTCTTTTGAAAATTTTGAGTTATTACTTTGGCTAAATGAATGAATTATTTTACAATGACCTGTGATCCTACTTTGTGATATCAAGTGTTTGACAAACTCTTTCAGAAATCAAATTGAATTTGGTCCCTTTAACCCCATTAATTTTTTGATGTTAGGTCCTCTGTAGTCAAAAAGAGACATATTTGGCTTATTTGGAATAATAGAATCACAAAGGTAGCATTGTCAAATAATAACCTCTCTATGGATTATATTTATTTACTGTGTTATTAGTGTGTGTTCCAAAATTGTGTGAGATTATGACTCTGATGTCTTAGCATATGTTATCAGTAGTCATAATTATTATGTAAAATTGCTGTATACCACAGAAATAACCAAATTTCCTTGTTGTGTCTTTTATCATGTCTGTCCTAATGTTTTTGTCATCCACAAGTGATGTTTTACTTTGATCCTTTTATACAACCATTTATCATCAGCTACAGAACTATGCAGTGTACTCTTAAATAAAAGTTTCTGGTAACTTTAGAGCTTGTACCATCGGAATAGAGAAAAACTTTCAGAACCCTCATGGAGAGCCCATGTATTCATGAGGATTGTTGCTCCAATTGTTGTTCTGATTGAGCAGATCAGCTGTTAGTATGGGGTATACTAACAGAAGACTGAAATCATCTTTTATGAATTTTTGTTACAAATATTTGCTGATACTTTTTTTGTTGTTTTTGAGTCAAGAAAATTTTTTCTTTTAAGCTATTTACAGCTTTTAACAATTGAGTAAAGTATAATATAGTGAGCAAAATTTAAAACATAATTCCTTTCTTTCTACATAATTTATCCAAAATTTGGAAACTATTTGTGAGTATTATTAATTTATGGTAATATAGTTATTTGCATAAGTTCAATAAGAATCTGCTTTCTTTTATAACAAGGAATAACTGGAGACACTGGTTATTTTACCAAGGCCTTGACTGGAATGACATATTTTCAGATAAGTTTGAGAAAATGAAGCTGATCTATAGCTTCAATAAAAGCCCTTTGGAAAGAAACTGGCCTCATACCTTGTCTTTTTCAGGGTCCTGACCTGTGATAAGTGAAGAATGCCACTCTCTGATAGGTCCAGAAACTCCAAGTTTTATTGGGACTTTGAAAACAGAATTCAACTAATTCATACAGGTATCTACAAGCACAGATGAATCCTTGGCTGGGCCAAAGCTTTCTAAACAGGTCTAATCTTAGATTCCTTAAGGAAAAGGTTCTAGCAAAGACAATGTTAAGAAAAAGAGAGAGCCTGCCTGTTAAATGATTATTCTTACTGAACTTCATGCAAATAATCAAACCAAATATAATAAGAATAAAACTTAGTTTACAAAGAAATTGCTCCAGCTATGATTTTGTCTTCAATAAAATTGAGAATTAGCTGGTTGTGGTGATGTGTGCCTGCAGTTCCACTACTCAGGAGGCTGAGGCAGGAAAATCACTTGAACCTGGGAGGTGGAGGTTGCAGTGAGCAGAGATTGTGCCACTGCACTCCAGACTGGGTGACAGAGCAAGGCTCCCTCTCAAAAAAAAATCACATCACCAAGTCAATCCTAAGCCAAAAGAACAAAGCTGGAGGCATCACACTACCTGACTTCAAACTATACTACAAGGCTACAGTAACCAAAACAGCATGGTACTGGTACCAAAACAGAGATATAGATCAATGGAACAGAAAAAGCCCTCAGAAATAACGCCACATATCTACAACTATCTGATCTTGGACAAACCTGAGAAAAATGGGCAATGGGGAAAGGATTCGCTATTTAATAAATGGTGCTGGGAAAACTGGCTAGCCATATGTAGAAAGCTGAAACTGGATCCCTTCCTTACACCTTATACAAAAATCAATTCGAGATGGATTAAAGACTTAAACGTTAGACCTAAAACCATAAAAACCCTAGAAAAAAACCTAGGCATTACCATTCAGGACATAGGCATGGGCAAGGACTTCATGTCTAAAACACCAAAAGCAATGGCAACAAAAGACAAAATTGACAAATGGGATCTAATTAAACTAAAGAGCTTCTGCACAGCAAAAGAAACTACCCTCAGAGTGAACAGACAACCTACAAAACGGGAGAAAATTTTCGCAACCTACTCATCTGACAAAGGGCTAATATCCAGAATCTACAATGAACTCAAACAAATTTACAAGCAAAAAACAAACAACCCCATCAAAAAGTGGGCGAAGGACATGTACAGACACTTCTCAAAAGAAGACATTTATGCAGCCAAAAAAACACATGAAAAAATGCTCATTATCACTGGCCATCAGAGAAATGCAAATCAAAACCACAATGAGATATCATCTCCCACCAGTTAGAATGGCAATCATTAAAAAGTCAGGAAACAACAGGTGCTGGAGAGGATGTGGAGAAATTGGAACACTTTTACACTGTTGGTGGGACTGTAAACTAGTTCAACCATTGTGGAAGTCAGTGTGGCGATTCCTCAGGGGTCTAGAACTAGAAATACCATTTGACCCAGCCATCCCATTACTGGGTATATACCCAAAGGACTATAAATCATGCTGCTATAAAGACACATGCACACATATGTTTATTGTGGCATTATTCACAGTAGCAAATACTTGGAACCAACCCAAATGTCCAACAATGATAGACTAGATTAAGAAAATGTGGCACACATACACCATGGAACACTATGCAGCCATAAGAAATGATGAGTTCATGTCCTTTGTAGGGACATGGATAAAATTGGAAAACATCATTCTCAGTAAACTATCGCAAGAACAAAAAACCAAACACCGCATATTCTCACTCATAGGTGGGAATTGAACAATGAGATCACATGGACACAGGAAGGGGAATATCACACTCTGGGGACTGTTGTGGGGTGGGGGGAGGGGGGAGGGATAGCATTGGGAGATATACCTAATGCTAGATGACGAGTTAGTGGGTGCAGCACACCAGCATGACACATGTATACGTATGTAACTAACCTGCACATTGTGCACATGTACCCTAAAACTTAAAGTATAATTAAAAAAAAAAATTGGGGAATTGGAGAGAGAAAAATTATGTTTCAAAATAAACTATAGTACAGCTGTTAATTGGATTCTAGCCTTGTACAATATTTTCCAACTTTTATTGTTTTCTACAATTTGGACTGAGTCCTAAAATTTTTCCTGGCTACAAGTCTCCAAAATAATGTTTTTAGTTTTTTTTCTTCGTTATTATTTCCTTCCTTCTTTATTATTTTTCTTTTTTCCCATTTTTTTACTGATTTGAAATCACTAAAAATTAAGCTGTACTTTACTTAATGCCTTGAAAACTGAAGCTAAACACTTAAACTTTAGAAGAAAATGACAGCAATCTATTTATATACATGAACGATTTTATGCCTGCCTGCTGAGGTATAGACTTCTGAATAATATGGCCTATATCAGTTTTCTAGGATTGTTTCCCCTTTTTTGTTGTTGTTGTATATTATTTCCCCCTTTTTCCCCTCATTTTATTTCTTTCTTACTCTCTATATTTTCTTCCTGGGATATGAAACTTCACACCCTGCTAAAAATGAGGTTTTCTTACAATATGGGACCTATCTGTCTAGGAATAACCATCCTAGCTGAAGAGATCAGACAAAACCCAATACCAGAGATGAATTTTCTTCTAAAATGTTTTCTCTGAAAGATTTTAAAAAGGAAAGAGGGGGATGTAGAAATGTGAAAGGAAAGTAAAAACTTGGAACTCCAATTGATTATGCACAAAAGGAAAAAAATTAAGCTGAAAGTCAAGTCATGATGATAGCAGTGGCAGCCAGTCTGGAGTGGCCACTGCAAATACACTGGCTGTAGTGGGGGAAGTGTGGCTGGGGCTGTGCACTCCACAGAGCCTGTGGGAGCTGGGAAGAGACAGGGATCCTCATCCCCTTCCAAGTTGGTGGGGCAGAGATCCCACTGTCCTGGCGTAGCTGTAGCCACCCAGCCATGGCTGCAGACCCAGGTATCTCTGCATCTGGGGGTCCTGGGAAGTCCTCCTGAAGGCTTGAAAGAGTCTGCTCCAGTTGCCTGGCCTCTCCCTGCTCCTGGTGCCCCCTCCAATTTCAGAGCAAAGTTGTGGCCGAGCCTGAGCACTGTCACAACCCAGCTGGTGTGCTTGTGTTTGGGGAAGTGCTGACAAGGCAGCCTTCTGCTGCTTCAGCCCCCTCCAGACATTGGGAGCCAGTGAGCATGGGAGGGAGACTGAGGGGGGAGCTAAGGGTGGCTCATCATGGGCCTGTAGGCACCCCTCAGCACAGGGAGCCTGGGTGCTTGGGAACCATGAAGGGCAGGTTAGTGGCAGCAGGATGCAGACAGGCTCCTGGGAGGAAAGGGGCTGGTCCTCAGTAAAGCCCCTTCTTCAGGCCTGGGATGGTCTGAAGTCAGGTGGGCAGGCTGCCAGTTCTGTGGACCGAAGTGAGAACTTATAGTGTTTTTCTGGGTTTGCACATGGCTGCCTGTGGACAAATTAGCATGCCCTTTCTCCCCCTGAAGCCCACAGAAACCCTGGACTCAGCCAGACTTGGGCAGATGTCAGGACAACCTGCCTGTGGAGAGGAGCTGCCCACTGTAGGTCTCCTCTCTGCTGTGAGCTGGACTCTCATCAGGATGACCTGTCTGCAAAGAGGAGCTAACCACTGTGGGTCTCTGCTGAGCTGTTCTGTCACTCAATAAAGCACATTTTCACCTTGCTCACCCTCCACTTGCCTGCCTAACTTATTATTCCTGGACATGGGACAAGAACTCAGGACCCACTGAATGGCGGGGCTGAAAAAGCTGTAACATAAACAGGGCTGAAACACACCCCTGCTCACTACATTGCAGTGATGAGAAGGAGATGACAGAAGGAGAGAAGAGCTACGGCCCTTCGGGGAGCATAGGCCTAGGAGTTCCCTGAGCCAGGGCTGTGACACCTTCTTTGGGGCTCTGTGGTTCCTGGCAACTCCAAGCTTCAGGGTGCCACCAAGTTCCATGGTGCCCCCAGTGGAAGCTGCTTATGGCACACCTGGTCCAGCCACAGCCTTGCAGGGAGCCAGTGTCCATGCTTGTGTGTGTAGCTGCCTGCCATGTGGCAGCCAGCATGCCTGGCTCTGTGCAGTGGAAAGACCCCCATGCTTGCATGCTCATGCATCCCTCTCCACTCTGCACCTGGCTTGCCCTTGGCAGGCATGGAGTCCAGGCCAGTAGCATGAGCCAAGCACAGCCTGCCAGGCCAAGTGGGTAGAATGAACCCAGCAGGCCTAAGCAAAACTTGGGCAAAGGTGACACTGGGCACAAAGGTTTTCAGCTGGTGAAACAACACCCCAAGGATCCTGTGACATTTTCGGGGGCTCATCTGGGATCTGTGGAAGCATGAGTAAAAGTAGACTTGCTGTTTTCTGTCCTCTTTTTGCAGTCTAAACTCCACAAAAGCGAAAATGAAAGAAAAATACTGGGCCTCCGTCAGCCAGTAAAAACCAACTAGCATGAGCCAGCCATGGTGGCTCACATCTGTAATTCCAGCACTTTGGGAGGCTGAGGCAGGTGGATCACAAGGTCAGGAGTTTGAGACCAGTCTGGCCAACATAGTGAAACTTCATCTCTACTAAAAGTACAAAACATTAGCCAGGTGTGGTGGTGTGCACCTGTAATCCCAGCTACTCTGGAGGCTGAGGCAGGAGAATTGCATGAACCTGAGAGCTTGAGGTTGCAGTAAGCCAAGATCACACCATTGCACTTCCACCTGGGCGACAGTGTGAGAGTCCATCTCAAAAATAAATAAATAAATAAATAAAAAATAAAAAAAAAAATAAAAAAAAAAGCAACTAGCATGAATGCCAGACTTACATGGATGACAGGCTTGCTGGGGAGGACACTGTCAATCTCCCATCACCCTTGGGTGTTGGGAATGTTGGCCTTGTTCCAATTCAGTTTCCCTTCACAGAGGTCTAGCCATTGCATGGGATCAGAAGGAGGTTCTGGGGCAACTCAGGGTATTTGGCTGAGGATACAACTCAGTGTTATGCAAAGGGCTCTGGAGTAACTCAATTCCCGACTGCCTATTAGGGTGTCAGCACTAGGACCTCCAGTCTTTCCCTCCCTCCCTCCCTCCTTCCCTCCCTTCCCTCCTTTCTCTCTTTCTCTTTCTTTCTTTTCTTTTTCTTTCTTCTTTTCTCTTTTCTTTTCCTTTCTCTCTTTCTTTTCTTTCTTTTGTGGCTGTCAAGCCTACTGTCTCTTCTTTATATACAATGTAAAGGGTATCGTTGCAAACCTCAGGGATAATATTACTGGGTAGAGTGTGCATTTGGCTTGGTCATCAAGAGTGTAAATTGGATCAATGGTTTCTGTCTATTCTTAGAAGCAAGGAGGATGTAACAATCGAGTTTTCTTTCCCCTGTTGAAGGAACCCATTTGCAAAGGGCAAGAAGCTTTTTCCTCCAGGCACCTTCCCCTCCCCTGCACTTAAGTTGTTTTCTTCTCTTTCCTCTATCATGTCAGCAGTCAACAAAGTTCTATGAATACAGGGAGATTTTCTATTGATTTTTCCTCTTGGGAGGCACCTTGTTAGGCCAGTTACCCAATGCCCAGGACTCCCTTTCTCTCCCTTGTTTGAGGAGGACCTGGTCCCACAGTTTCAGCTGCTTATGATAGGAAAGCAAGGGAAGGGGCTGCCCCACCAGCTGCTGGCAGCAGTTTGGTGAGGGCCACCTGGGATCTATTGAGTCCATACACCCTCTGGAGGCAATTCCAAGCTTTGGGTTGAAGCCCTGGAAAGCAAAATTAGTCATGCAGGTTAGCATGACTGATTTCTGCCAATTAGGCCCTCTTGCTTCATGAATGGAGGTTATGCTCATATCCATGACACAGACAAGGTCTAGGGAACTCAAAAATTTCTAGCAGCAGGAGGCTTAGGCTCTGCCTAGGTGATTGAGGATATTCCTGCTAGCTATGCCTCCCCGCTTCATGGGTGAAGGTCACACTTGCTCCCATGGTCGGCACCTGCGAATGTCACCAGAACTTGGAGATATAAGATCAGAAGAAAGAAGGAGACACCTTTTTTTTCTCTCCTTCACATACCCCTGGTATTCACTGGAAAGAGAAAGAGAAAAAGAGTGCCCTTTTTTCTCCTCTTTCCAGATGGGAAACCAACTATATTCAGCCTGCATTCTTCTGGAGTGCATCCTGAATCACTGGGACCTCTTTGACCCTCAGAGTCTGGAAAGAGAAACAAATGCCTTTTTCCTCCTCTGTCCTCTCTACTACATGGGTAACCAATCATCTTCAGCCTACACTCCTCTAGAGTGTATCCTGAATCCCTGAGACTCCTTTGACCCTCGGACTCTTTAGAAAATGCACCTCATATTACTTTGCACAAAAGTGTGACTGAATTATGTTCTGCAGGAAGGAGAAGCATGGCCAAAGAAAGGAAGCATTAATTTCAATACATTCCTTTCCCTGGATCTTTTCTTTAAATGTGAGGGCAAATGGTCTGAGGTCCCACATGTCCAGGCTTTCTTTGCCTTGCAGGGTAGTCTGGACCTTTGCCAACATTGTAGGATTGATTCAGTCCTCCTGGCAGCCATCTCAGGAGATGCTGCAAGGGGCAATCCCAGGAAACTAGGTAAGCAAACCCTAAAGGTACCTCCAGCAGGGGAGTAAACTTCATCCCCTCCTCCCTATCCAGGTTTTCTCTTGGACTTTCCCCATCCTAGAAATCCTCATTTTAGGTGAGTCCCCCTCTCACTCCTTCCCCTAAAACAGATGTCTGGTGAATATGGCCCCATTAAGGGCCAAGTCTCCTTTTCTCTACAAGACTTAACACAAATTAAGGGGAATCTTGGCAAGTTTTCAGACTATCCTGACCGGTATATAGAGGCTTTGCAGAATTTAACCTAAGTATTTGAGCTCTCCTAGGAGGATGTTATGTTAGTTTTTAATCAAACCCTGACTACCATGGAAAAGCAGGTCACCCTGCAAGAAGCAGAGAATTTTGGGGATGAGCTTTGTATCTCATATAGTGCCAGGGAAGAGGAGGAGCCTTATCCAAATGGAAAAATATCAGTACCATTGGAGGACCCTAAATGGGGCCCCAGTGGTGAAATGGGAGAATGGAAAAGGAAACACTTTCAGGCATGCACACTAGTGGGCTTACAAAGGACTAGAACTAAGCCTCTCAATTACTACAAGCCATCCCTGGTAGACAAGGGATTAGATGAGAATCCCACTGCCTTCCTAGAAAGGCTAAGTGTGGCCTTGGTAAAGCACACCTCTCTATTTCCTGATCCAGTGAAGGGACAACTGATCCTGAAGGATAAGTTTATTACTTCGGTAGCTTGTGATATCAGGACGAAGCTGCAAAAACAGGCTACAACACCAGATAGCACTTTAGAGAACCTCCTGAAAGTGACCAACTTGGTCTTTCACAATAGGGATTGGGAGGAAGTCCAAAAAAGAGAAAATAAATACAAGAAAAAGGTAGAGGCTCTAATAGTGGCCTTGCAGGCTCACAAACCTCAGAGCCCCCAAGATATACATGTTACCTGCTACGAATGGGGCAAGCCAGGGCAATTTAGGAAGGACTGCCCAGGCAACATAAGGAAGCCACCTCAACCCTATCCAATTTCTGATGGGGACCACTGGAGGGCAGACTGTTTACAGAGACACAGGTCACTGGGTCCAGAGCCAGTTTCCCAAATGGTCCAGCAGGACTGACAGGTTCCGGGGCTCCTCTCCCCAGCTCTGCTGATCCAGACTACCATTGCCATCCTGGGTCCCGGGGTGATTTTGGAAGTTGAAGGGAGGAAGGTGGAACTCTTCATGGTCACCAAAGCAGGCCTTTCCATTCTCATCTCCAATCCAGGCCCGCCTCTTCTCTTAGCACAACAGTGAGGGGTGCCTCAAGAAAGCCTATAACCCGATATTTTTCCCAATCTCTTAGCTGTAGATGGGGAAACCTCTTGTTTACTCCTGCCTTTTAAATAATGCCTGAAAGCCCAACTCTTCTGTTGGGCAGGGATAGTTTGGCTCCTATGGGAGCCACCATCCTTACGGCTCCAAGACAGAGTCTTTTTCTCCACCCTAGTGGAGACCAATATTAACCCAGAAGTTTGGGCACCTCAAGGGAAACTAGGCCAAGCCACAATCACCACACTGGTCCAGATCCACTTTAAGGATCCTACCTCCTTTCCTAACCAGAGACACTATCCCCTAAAATAAGAAGTTAGAAAAGGACTAGAAGCCGTCATCAATAACTTGAGGATGAAAGACCTCCTCAAACCCTGCAACAGCATAATAGCCCAATATTGGAGGGACAAAAACCCAACAGGAAATAGAGAATGGTCCAGGACCTCCACCTCATTAATGAAACTGTGGTTCCAATTTATCTTGTGGTCCCCAATCCCTATACCCTTCTAACTCAAATAGCTGAGGGAACCAAATGGCTCACATGCCTGGACTAAAGGATTCCTTTTTCTGCATACCATTTGTATGAGTTCATTCTCATGCTGCTAATAAAGACATACTTGACATTGGGTAATTTATAAAGAAAAAGAAATTCGATGAACTCACAGTTCCACGTGGATGGGGAGGCCTCACAATCACTGTGGAAGGCAAAACCATGTCTTATATGGCAGCAGGCAAGAGAGAATGAAAGCCAAGTGAAAGGGGAAACCCCTTATAAAACCATCAGATCTTGTGAGACTTATTCACTACCATAAGAACTAAATCATTATCACAAGAACAGGATGAGAAACTGGCCCCAGCATTCAATTATCTCTACCTGGTCCCCGCCACAACACATAGGGATTATGGGAACTACAACTCAAGGTGAGATTTGTGTGGGAACACAGCCAAATCATATCATTCCACCCCTGGCCCTTCCCAAATCTCAGGTCTTCACAATTCAAAACACAACCACGCCTTTCCCATGGTCCCCCAAAGTCTTAACTCACTCCAGCATTAACTCAAAAGTCCAAGTCTAAAGTCCCATCTGAGACAAAGCTAGTTACTTCCACCTATCAGCCTGTAAAATTGAAAGCAAGTTAGTTACTTCCTAGATACAGTGGGGTTACAGGCATTAGGTAAATACACCCATTCCAAATGTGAAAAATTGTCCAAAATGAAGAGGCTACAGGCCTCATGCAAGTCCAAAATACAATAGGGCAGTCACTAAACCTTAAAGTTCCAAAATGATCTCCTTTGACTCCATGTCTCACATCCAGGTTACACTGATGCAAGAGGTGGGCTCCCACAACCTTGGAAAGCTCTGTCTCTGTGTCTTTGCATGGTACAGCTCCCTTCCTGGCTGTTTTCATGGGTTGGCATTGAGTGTCTGCCACTTTTCCAGGTGCACAGTGCAAGCTGTTGGTGAATCTACCATTCTGGCATCTGGAAGACAGTGACTGTCTTCTCACAGCTCCACCAGGAAGTCCCCCAGTGTGGATGCTGTGTAGGGGCTCTGACTCCACATTTGCCTTCCACACTGCCCTAGCAGAGGTTCTCCATGAGGACTCTGCTCCTGCAGCAAATTTCTACCTGGACAGCCAGGCATTTCCATATACCCTCTGATATCTAGACAGAGATTCCCAAACCTCAGTTCTTGACTTCTGTTCACCCACAGGCCCAACACCACGTGAAAACCACCAACCCTTGAGGCTTGCACCCTCTAAAGAAATGGCCTGAGCTGTATGTTGGCCCCTTTTAGCCACGGCTGAAGCTGAAGCAACTAGGATGCAGGGCACCGTGTCCTGATGCTGCACAGAACAGGGGGGCCCTGGGCCTTGCCCGTGAAACCATTTTTCCCTTGTAGGCTTCCAGGCCTTTGTCGGGAGGGTCTACTCTGAAGATCTCTGACATGCCTTGGAGACATTTTCCCCGTTGTCTTGGTGATTAACATTTGGCTCCTCATTACTTATGTGAATTTCTGCAGTGGGCTTGAATGTCTCCCCACAAAGTGGGTTTTTCTTTCTTTTCACATCATCAAGCTGCAAATTTTCCAAACTTTTATGCTCTGCTTCCTCTTGAGTGTTTTGCCACTTTGAAATTTCTTCCACCAGATACTCTAAATTATCTCTCTCAAGTTCAAAGTTCCACAGATTTCTAGGGCATGGGGGCAAAATGCCTAGCAAGAGTGACCTTTACTCTAGTTCCCAACAAGTCCCTTATTTTTATCTTAGACCACATCAGCCTGGACTTTAATGTCAATATCACTATCAGCATTTTGATCAAAGCCATTCAACAACTCTCTAGGAAGTTCCAAACTTTCCCACATCTTCCTGTCTCTGAGCCCTCCAAACTGTCCTAACCTCTGACTGTTACCTAGCCTCTGACTTAACCTCTGAAAGTTCCAAAGTTGCTTCCACATTTTTTGAGTATCCTTGCAGCAGCGTCCCACTACCAGCTTCCAATTTACTGTATTAGTCCATTCTTACACTGCTGTAAAGGAGTTCCTGAGACTGGGTAACTTACAAAAGGAAGGAGTTTAATTGCCTCACAGTTCCATATGGCTGGGGAGGCCTCAGGAAACCTGCAAGTATGGCAGAAAGCAACCCTTCACAGGACAGCAGGGGAGAGAAGGAATGCCTAGTGAAGGAGGAATTCCATTATAAAACCGTCAAATTTCATGAGAACTAATTCACTCTCAGAAGATCAGGATGGGGTAACCACTGCCATGAAACAGTTATCTCCACCTAGTCCTTCCCACCACACATGGGGATAACGGGAACTACAATTCAAGATGAGTTTTGGGTGGGAACACAGCCAAACCATATCACACCCTGACTCCCAGTATTTGTTTGCATTTGAGAATCCCTCCAACCAAGACACCCAGTTAATCTAGACTGTGTTAACTCAGGGATTCTGAGATGGCCCCCACCTGTTTGGGCAGACATCATTAATTGATCTCTCTTGAGTCCCTTAATCATCAGGTTAAAGTTTTACAATATGTAGATGGCATTCTCCTTTGTGCCCCAACTGAGGAAATCTCTCAGGAAGGCAGCAAGGCTCTTCTTACTTTCTCGTTAACAGAGTCTAGAAGGTTTCAAAATCTAAGGCTCGGTTCTGTCAGGCTTTCAGTGAAGTACCTAGGTCTAGTCTTGTTAGAGGGAACCAGGGCACTAGGTGAAGAAAGGATCAAGCCCATCTCCTCCTTTTTCCTTACCCAAACCATCAAGCAATTGAGGGGATTCTAGGGTATTACAGGATTTTGCTGGTTATGGATACATGGGTACAGTGAAATAGCTCATCCCGTATATCATCTAATAAAGGTGACTCAGGCAGCTAAGACCCATTTCCTAACTTGGGAACCAGAGGCTAAAAGGGCCTATGACCAATTAAAACAGGTTTTGCTTGATAAACCAGCTCTTAGTCTTCCCAATGGGGAGATGTTCAATCTTTATGTCTCAGAAAGGAAGGGAATCACTCTGGAAGTTCTAACCCTGGCCTGATGCCTAGCTCAGCAGTCTGCAGGCTACCTAAGCAAGGAGCTTGATTTGGTAGCTAAAGGATGGCCAGCCTGCCTCCAGGCAGTTGCAGCAGTAGCTTCGCTAGTACCAGAAGCTATAAGTTAACAATGGGGAATAACTTAACCATTTACATCCCACATAATGTGACAGAACTGTTGTCTTAAGGGAGTCTCTGGCTAATGGACAGCTGCTTCCTCAAATATCAAGCTTTGCTATTAGAGGCATCTGCAGTCCAGTTAAGAACCTGCCCCTCCCAGCTCATGCCTGTAATCTCAGAACTTTGGGAGGCCAAGATGGGCAAATTACCTGAACTTGGGAGTTTGAGACCAGCCTGACCAACATGAAGAAATCCCATCTCTACTAAAAATACAAGGATTAGCCAGGCATGGTGGCACATGCCTGTAATCCCAGCTACTCAGGAGGCTGAGGCAGGAGAATCTCTTGAACCCGGGAGGAAGAGGTTGTGGTGAGCCTAGATCGTGCCATTGCACTCCAGCCTGGGCAACAAGAGCAAAACTCTGTCTCAAAAAAACTAACAGACAAACAAACCTGTCCCTCCCTAAACCCAGCCACCTTCCTCCACCTTCCTCCAAGAGAAAGATGAGGAGCTTGAAAATGGCTGCGAACAGGTAATAGTGCAAACCTGTGGCCAGAGAGGACCTCAAAGAAACCCCCTTAGAGAACACAGACTAGATTCCCTTTATGGACAGAAGTTCCTTTGTAGAGCAAGGGATCTGTAAGGCAGGGTATGCAATGGCCACCCTAAGTGACATTATTGAGAGCACAGCTCTCTCGGTGGACAGAAATGTTCAACTAGCTAAGCTAATTGCCTTCATGAGGTCACTTGAATTAAGCAAAGGGAAACCAGTTAACATTTATACTGATTCTAAATATGTTTTTCTAGTCCTCCATGCCCTTGCCACTATCTGGAAAGAAGAAGTTCCTCACAGCCAATGGGTCTCCCAATAAATTCCATCAGGAAATTAACAGACTATTATCCTTGGCCTTCCTTCCACAAGAAGTGGAAGCAATACATTGTCAAGGCCATGAAAAGGGGATGGACGAAAGAGTTGAGGGAAATAAGTTGGCAGACCAGGCAGCTAAACCAGCAGCAAGAGGGCCCTATATTTCTGATCCACTTGAGGCCCCTCTGATCTGGGAGGGCTCCATGAAAGAAATAAAACCTCAGTATTCCTCTGCAGAGAGAGAATGGGCCACCTCTCAGGGATACACACTTCAGTCCTCAGGATGGTTGCAACTGGAGGATGGCAAGCTTCATCTACCAGCTACCAACCAATGGAAAGTTCTCAAAATTCTCCACCATGCCTTCCAGCTAAGTAAGGATAAAACCTATCAAGTGGCCCAAAGGCTGCTCTCAGGTAAAAATCTACTAAAAACAGTCAAATGGGTCATTCATTGTGAGACTTGCCTTAAACATAATCTTCTCAGTCGACATCTTCTCCCCACCAGAACCCAAAGAATGGGAAGCTACCTAGGGGAAGACTGGCAGGTCGATTTCAACCATATGCCAAAGACAAGGGGCATCTAGTACCTCCTAGTATGGGTAGATATCTTCACTAACTAGATAGAAGCATTTACATGTTGAACAGAGAAAGCCTCTGAGGTGATAAAAGTACTGATTAATGAAATAACTCCTCACTTTGGACTTCCTGGGTGCCTCCAGAGAGATAATGGCCCCTCATTCAAGGCAGCTGTCAAAGGGTATCTCAAAGGCACTAGGCATAGAATACCATCTTCATTGTGCCAGGAGACCACACTCCTCAAGAAAGGTAGAAAAGACAAATGATATTATTAAAAGGCACCTCAGAAATCTGTCTCAAGAGACTCATCTCCCTTGGATTACTCTTCTCTTCATAGCCCTACTATGTGTTAGAAATACCCCTTCAAATCTGAGTTTAGGTAACCCTGAAATGATGTGTGGATGACCTTTACTCACCAATAATTTCTTGCTAGACCAAGAAACCTCTGATTTAACTAAATATGTACATTATTTGGCCCATTTCCAACATGAACTGAAACAACTGTCAGAGGCCCAGTACCATGAACTAGGCCACCTCTATTCAACCCAGGGGACTTAGTCCTGATAAAGGCACTTCCTTCCCTTTTTCCTCTCTAGGACCAGAATGGGAGGGACCTTAAACTGTACTTCTTTCTACACCTACGGCAGTAAATGTCACTGGAATAGATTCTTGAATTCATTATACTAGCGTGAAGTCCTGGGAAACTGATGAAATTACCTCCATTGACCCAGGAGAGCACCCAAAGTACCAGAGTGAATAAATCAGGGACCTCAAGCTAACAATCTCAAAAGAGAATTACTAACAATTAACCCTCCATGAATATCCTATGCTTGCTCTTCTCACTTTTCTTCCTTGCCATAGGGCATCTTCATCAAGGACCCCTTAATCCTGAACTCCCAAGGGATTATCTACTCCCCTAAACAGTTATTTCTCTTTTAAAGTTTAACTGCCTCCATACAAGATTTAATTCCTTTTACCAGGGTGAAACAGCTCTAGCCACAACACTGTTTTCAGAATGATTAGTCTATTTTATTTCTTATTTCTGTTATCTTTTGGCACTAGATTTTTTCCTTTGCATACTTAACCTCCTTGTAAAATTTGTTTCTTCTCACCTAGAAACCATCAAACTCCAAGTGGACATGCAACTGGAGCCTCAGAAAATGGCTCTCCTTTTACCAGGGGCCTTTAGATAGGCCTCTGAGAGAGATCTGACTGCCATTTTTCCCAGAATGCCCCCTGTCAGCATGAAGGAGTTAAGAGTGGTCATTGTCTGTATCCTAATGGCAGTTAGATGTACCTCTTCGGGTGAAGCAGGGTGATGGCAGCGGTGGCTTGTCTTGAGCAGCTGCTGCAAAAAGACCAACTGCAGCAGGGGAGGCATGGCCAGGGCTACATGTTCTGTGGAGCTGGCAGGAGCTGAGAACAGGTGGGAGCCCCACCCTCTTCCAAGTTGTTGGGGCTGGAACTCCACTCTCCCAGGCACAGCTGCAGAAGCCCAGTCATGGCTGTGGACTCAGGCATCTCTGCACTCTCGGGGGCCCAGGAAGCCCCCCTTCCCCACAGGCTTGGAAGTGCCTGCTCCCACTGCCTGGCCTCTGCCCACTCCCAGCACCCACTCCAATTTTAGAGTGAAGTTGTGGCTGAGCCTGGGTGCTGTCATGACCTGGCCAGGTGTGCTCATGCTCAGGGCAGTGTTGACACACCAGCCTGCTGATGCCTTGACCCTCTCTGAACATTGAGCACTGATGAGCATGGGAGAGAGGCTGAAGGGGGACTAAGGATGACTTGGCATGGGCTTGTAGGCACCACTTGACACAGACAGCCTGGGTGCCATGGCCACCATGGGTGGCAGGTTAATGGTGTTAGGAGGAAGACAAGTTCCTGGATGGAAAGGGGTGGGTCCCCAGTGAAGCTCCCCCTTTAGGCCTGGGATGGCCTGAAGCCTGGGGGCCAGGTTGCCAGTTCCACAGACCAGAGTGAGAACTTACTGTGCTTTTTCTGGGCCTGCCAATGTCTGCCTGTGGACTAATCAGGACACCCTCTTCCCCTCTGAAGCCCATAAAAGCCCCTGACTGAGCCTTACTCAGGCAGACATCAAGATGACCTGCCTTCAAAGAGGAGCTACCCACTGTGGGTATTCTCTCTGCTGAGAGCTGAGCAGACATTTAGACAACCTGTCTGCAGAGCAGAGCTACTCACTGTGGGTCTCCTCTGAGCTGTTCTGTTGCTCAATAAAACACCTCTTTGCTTTTCTCACTCTCCACTTCTCTGAGTACCTCATTCTTCCTGGATGTAGGACAAGAACTCAGGACTGCTGAATGGCAGGGGTGAAACTGAAAGAGCTGTAACACAAACCGAGCTGAAATACGACCTCCACTTGCCACATTACAGGTGATGAGAAGGAGAGAAGAGCTGCATCCTTTTGGGGATCCCAGACCTAGGAGCTCCCTGAGCCAGGACTGTGACACTCTCTTTGGGGCTTGGTGATTCCTGGTGACTCCAAACTTCTGGGCAACACCATGTTCCCCTGTGCCTGCCATGGAAGCCACTTGTGGTACTCCTGGTCCAGCTGCAGCCTCGCAGGGAGCCAGTGCCCATGACAGCACCTGGGGCTGCCCACCCTGCTGCAGTCAGCATGCTTGGCTGTGCACAGTGGCTGGACCACACACTCATTCACTCTTGCACCACTCACCACTCTGTGTCTGGCTTGTCCTTTGCAGGTGTGGGATCCAGGTTGGTAACATAAGCTGAGTGCAGCCCACCGGCTGAGTGGGTGAAATAAGCCCAGCAGGCCCAAGCAAAACTCAGGTAAAGGCACCACTAGCCACAGAGGTTTCCAGCTGGTGAAGCAACTGAAGTATCCCATAACAATGCAAGAAACTGCCTTTCCTTTGTTCCTAAGCAGATAGCTACAAATAAAGTGTTAAATATCTTCACAGGTAGCTACTCTATATCCACCTTATCTTATATAAAGTACTGATTTACTGAGCACAGCATGTATAAATAATTGAGTATTCCCCTACCTGTTTCTTTTCTTTGGCAACATGTGGATTACCATACTCTCCCTCTTTCCCCTCCAGCCCACATTTTTTTCTTTAAATGCTGAAGCCCTCAAAATTGCTTTTGGAGAAAGGCACAGACCACAGACTGTTTCTGTGATTTTGTGTTTTTTTTCTTCTGGGCATGCCCTTAATCTTGGCAAAATAAACCTCAAAATTGATTGACACTTGTCTCAGATACTTTTAGGTTTACACTTGTTTAGCAAAATGCTTTCATGAAACATGGAAAATGAGGCTTAGACATAGCTATGAAGGCTGAGGAGAGAGACAAACCAACATTATGTTGCCCTTAATGTACTATAAAATAAGACTTTTTGAATTTCCTGACAAGTTGAGAAGTGGAAAGTGTAAGTAGAAAGTCACTAGAAGGAAGAGAAAGGAGGCCAACAAACCAAGGAAAGCCAGAATGCTACACCCTGTGATGGCAAATGAGAATGGCTGAAGGAGCATTTATAAACAGGAGTGTTTCATTTCCCACAATAAGCTCTTGGTCATGCAGAGACCTCTTGTTCCCCACCGCACCATTATATCATAACTCCTGATACTTCAGTGACAGTTGAACAGGGGCATGTCCACTTGGGGAATGGATATGTAATGGTTCTTTCCAAGAGTAAGAAGACCCAAAGAGGCATAGCAGTAGCTTGCCTTGAATAGAGAAAAGATCCATAGAGTGATCCATGGTAACCAGAAAATGTTTGGAGAAAATACATTCCTTTTTTTTCTAAGTGAAAGTAATGGGACAAAAATTTTGAAATCTATTTATGTCCTACATTTTAAGAAATGCACTCTTTCTGTGTACCTCCCTTCTAGGCTCCTGCATCTACCAACAGTAAATCATTAGCAACCTTATGAAATGCCACAGAGAATGGGCTTTTGTGGTAGAAAGATGAACATAAAAGGAGAAGCTGAGAGCAATCAAACATCCACTTAGGAAGCAGTTTTACCTATGGGAATCTTCATTGGGTGCCTTTGTTTCATTTTGATTACTAGCCTTAGTGTTTCCTGGAGAACAAAGCCCTGATTTCTAGAAGTATGCTTTATCTCCTGAGCACATAATTTCTGAGCCTAGGAGTATCTTATAGACAGTAACTATACTGATTCAGTGGACTTAGACAATTTCACATTTTCTGATTTTTTTTTCTTGGGTGGATTCCAAAGATTTAGGATAGCTTTTTTTTTTTTCAGAAACACATATAGCACAGTGTAAAAATAATTTGCATTGCTATGACTATCTCATAGGATATCTCTCTTTCAAGGTGCCCAGCAAAATTTTTGGCATGAATCAAATTTATTTGGGGCCTCAGTTACAGAGTAGACACAGTATGTAAGCAAAAATGTAAATGCATTTTTTGCTTTCATAATACAGAAAGAGCTCATAAAGCTCTGTTGGATAAACAAGTGAGTGACTCGATATTTAAGCAATTAATCAATATTTAAGAATTATGTATATATATTTATTTATATCCAAGCTTCAAGATTGGAAATTTAATTCTTTGTATATAGAAAATAATTGACGTAAGATTTTTTCCCTGACACACAAACTCTAAGATTTATGCAAGAGTTCTGAAGTGTACTTTTTATCAAATAAAATGGAAGAGTTAGAAGAGTTTTAAAAGTTAGTTAACTCCTTTGAAATTTGTAAGAACTTCAGAGAAAAAAACTTTATTAATCAAGAGAAAGATATTACACAATTCCAAATCTTTATAATACAGGCATACCTCGGGGAAATTGTGGGTTCAGTTCTAGACCACTGCAAAAAAGCAAATATCACAATAAAGCAAGTCACACAGATTTGTTGGTTTCTCAGTGCATATAAAAGCTATGTTTACACTATACTGTAGTCTATTAAGTGTGTAATAGCATTGTGTCAAAAAAACAATGTACAGACCTTAATTAAAAATATTACTAAAAAATGCTGACAATCATCTAAGCCTTCAATGAGTTGTAACCTTTTTTCTGGTGGAGGGTTTTGCTTTGTTGTTGTTGGTTGCTGAATGATCAGGGTGGTGGTTGGTTTCTGTTTGATAGCATTTTACCCACTGCAGAACTTCTTTCAAAATTGAAGGCAATCCTCTCAAACCCTGCTACTGCTTTATCAACTAAGTTTATGTGCTATTCTAAATTTTTGTTGTCACTTCAACATTGCTCATAGCATCTTCACCAAGGGCAAATTTCTTTGCTCTTTAAGAAACCATTTTCTTTGCTCCTTCAGTAACTCCTCATCCATTCAATATTTATCATGAGATTTCAGCAATTCAGTCCCATCTTTAGGGTGCACTTCTCATTCTAGCTATCTGGCTAGTTCCACTACACCTGTAGTCACTTTGTCCACTGAAGTCTTGAGCTCCTCAAAGTTATCCACAGGATTGGAATCAACTTTTTCCAAATTGCTGTTAATATTGATATTTTGACCTCTTCTCATGAGTCACCAATGTTATTAATGACATCTACAATAGGAATCCTTTCCAGAAGGTTTTAAATGTATTTTGCCCATATCCATTAGAGGAATCACTATCTATGGCCGCTATAACCTTTCAAAGTGTATGTCTTTCTTTCATTTTTATTTTAGGCATGAGATCTCTCTCTGTCACCCAGAGTGGAGTGCAGTGGCATAACCATAGCTCTCTGCAGCCTCAAACTCCTAGATTCAAGTGATCCTCCTTCCTCAGCCTCTCAAGTAGCTATAACTATAGGCACAGGCCAACACATCTGGCTTTTTTATTATTATTATATTTTAAATTCTGGGGTACATGTGCAGAACGTGCAGTTTTGTTACATAAGTATACATGTGCCATGGTGGCTTGCTGCACCCATCAACCCATCACCTACATTAGGTATTTCTCCTAATGCTATTCCACCCACTCCCCCAACCCCCCAACAGGCCCTGGTGTGTGATGCTCCCCTCCCTGTGCCCATGTATTCTCCTTGTTCAACTCCCACTTATGAGTGAGAACATGCAGTGCTTGGTTTTCTGTTCTTGCGATAGTTTGCTGAGAATGATGGTTTCCAACTTCATCCATGTCCCTGCAAAGGACATGAACTCATCCTTTTTTATGGCTGCATAGTATTCCATGGTGTTTTTATGCCACATATTTTTTATCCAGTCTATCATTAATGGATATTTGGGATGGTTCCAAGTCTTTGTTTTTGTGAATAGTGCTGCAATAAACATATGT
Source organism: Homo sapiens (assembly GCF_000001405.40). Lineage (NCBI taxonomy): Eukaryota > Metazoa > Chordata > Mammalia > Primates > Hominidae > Homo > Homo sapiens. The sequence continues at coordinate 61,189,158 of NC_000006.12, read as the reverse complement.
GTGCATGTGTCTTTATAGTAGAATGATTTATAATCCTTTGGGATTATAAATCCCAGTAATGGGATTGCTGGGTCAAATGGCATTTCTCGTTCTAGATGCTTGAGGAATCGCCACACTGTCTTCCACAATGTTTGAACTAATTTACGCTCCCATCAATAGTGTAAAAGTGTTCCTATTTCTCCAAATCCTCTACAGCATGTGTTGTTTCCTGACTTTTTAATGATCACCATACTAACTGGCATGAGATGGTATCTCATTGTGGTTTTGATTTGCATTTCTCTAATGATCAGTGATGATGAGCATTTTTTCATATGTTTGTTGGCTGCAAAAATGTCTTATTTTGAGAAGTGTCTGTTCATATCCTTTGCTCACTTTTTGATGGGGTTGTTTGTTTTTTTATCTTGTAAATTTGTTTAAGTTCTTTGTAGATTCTGGATATCAGCCATTTGTCAGGCGGATAGATTGTAAAAATTTTCTCCCATTCTGTATGTTGCCTGTTCAGTCTGATGATAGTTTCTTTTGCTTTGCAGAAGCTCTTTAGCTTAATTAGATCCCATTTGTCAATTTTGGCTTTTGTTGCCATGGCTTCTGGTGTTTTAGACATGAAGTCTTTGCCCATGCCTATGTCCTGATAGGTATTGCCCACGTTTTCTTCTAGGATTTTTATGGTTTAAGTCTTACATTTAAGTCTGTAACCCATCTTGAGTTGACTTTTGCGTAAGGCGTAAGGAAGGGGTCCAGTTTCAGTTTTCTGCTTATGGCTAGCAAGTTTTCCCAACACCATTTATTAAATAGGGAATCTTTTCCCCATTGCTTGTTTGTGTCAGGTTTACCAAAGATAAGATGGTTGTAGATGTGTGGCATTATTTCTGAGGCCTCTGTTCTGTTCCATTGGTCTGTATATCTGTTTTGGTACCAGTACCATGCTGTTTTGATTACTGTAGCCTTGTAGAATAGTTTGAAGTCAGGTAGTGTGATGCCTCTAGCTTTGTTCTTTTTGCTTAGGAATGTCTTGGCTATGTGGGCTCATTTTGGTTCCATATGAAGTTTAAAGTAACTTTTTCCAATTCTGTGAAGAAAGTCAGTGGTAGCTTGATGGGGATAGCACTGAATCTATAAATTACTTTGGGCAGTAAGGCCATTTTCACAATATTGATTCTTCCTTTCCATGAGCATGGAAGGTTTTTCCATTTGTTTGTGTTCTCTCTTATTTCTTTGAGTAGTGGTTTGTAGTTCTCCTTGAAGAGGTCCTTCACATCTATTATAAGTTATGTTCCTAAGTATTTTATTCTTTTTGTAGCAACTGTGAATGGGAGTTGACTCATGATTTGGCTCTCTGTTTGTTATTGGTGTATAGGAATTCTTGTTAATTTTATAGATTGATTTTGTATCCTGAGACTTTGCTGAAGTTGCTTACCAGTTTAAGGAGATTTGGGGCTGAGAAAACGGGGTTTTCTAAATATACAACAATGTCATCTGTGAACAGAGACAATTTGACTTCCTCTCTTCCTATTTGAATGCCCTTTATTTCTTTCTGTTGCCTGATTGCCCTGGCCCGAACTTCCAATACTATGTCGAATAGGAGTGGTGAGAGAGGGCATCCTTGTTTTGTGCTGGTTTTCAAAGGGAATGCTTCCACTTTTTGCCCATTCAGTATGATATTGGCTGTGGGTTTGTCATAAATAGCTCTTATATTATTTTGAGATACAGTCCATTGATACCTAGTTTATTGAGAGTTTTTAGCATGAAAGGGTGTTGAATTTTATCGAAGGCCTTTTCTGCATCTATTGAGATAATCATGTGTTTTTTGTCATCGGTTCTGTTTATGTGATGGATTACATTTTATTGATTGGTGTATGTTGAACCAGCCTTGCATCCCAGGGATGAAGATGAATTGATCATGGTGGATAAGCTTTTTGATGTGCTGCTGGATTCGCTTTGCTAGTATTTTATTGAGGATTTTTGCACCGATGTTCATCAGGGATATTGGCCTGAAATTTTCTTTTTTTGTGTGTCTCTGCCAGGTTTTGGTATCAGGATGATGCTGGCCTCATAAAATGAGTTAGGGGGGATTCCCTCTTTTTCTATTGATTGGAATAGTTTCAGAAGGGATGGTACCAGCTCCTCTTTGTACCTCTGGTAGAATTCAGCTGTGAATCTTTCTGGTCCTGTGCTTTTTTTGGTTAGTAAGCTCTTAATTACTGCCTCAATTTCAGAACTCGTTATTGGTCTATTCAGGGATTCAACTTCTTCTTGGTTTAGTCTTGGGAGAGTGTATGTATCCAGGAATTTATCCATTTCTTCTAGGTTTTCTAGTTTATTTGCACAGAGGTGTTTATAGTATTCTCTGATGGTAGTTTGTATTTCAGTGGGATCAGTGGTGATATCCCCTATATCATTTTTTATTGCTTGTATTTGATTCTTCTCTCTTTTCTTCTTTATTAGTCTTGTTAGTGGTCTTTCTGTTTTGTTGATCTTTTCAAAATACCTGCTCCTGGATTCATTGATTTTTTGAAGGGATTTTGTGTCTCCATCTTCAGTTCTGCTCTGATCTTAGTTATTTCTTGTCTTCTGCTAGCTTTTAAATTTGTTTGCCATTGCTTCTCTAGTTCTTTTAATTTTGATGTTAGGATATCAATTTTAGATTTTTCCTGCTTTCTCTTGTGGGCATTTAGTGCTAAAAATTTCCCTTGACAGACTGCTTTAAATGTGTCCCAGAGATTCTGGTATGCTGTGTCTTCATTCTCATTGGTTTCAAAAAACATCTTTGTTTCTGCCTTCATTTTGTTATTTACCCAGTAGTCATTCAGGAGCAGGTTGTTCAGTTTCCATGTAGTTGTGAAGTTTGAGTGAGTTTTTTAAATCCTGAGTTCTAATTTGATTGCACTGTGGTCTGAGAGACTCTTTGTTATGATTTCCATTATTTTCCATTTGCTGAGGAGTGTTTTACTTCCAATTATGTGGTCAAGTTTAGAATAAGTGTGATGAGGTACTGAGAAGAATGTATATTCTGTTGATTTGGGGTGGAGAGTTCTGTAGATGTTTATTAGGTCCACTTGGTCCAGAGCTGAGTTCAAGTCCTGAATATCCTTGTTTATTTTCTGTCTTGTTGATCTGTCTAGTATTGACAGTGGGGTGTTCAAGTCTCCCACTATTATTGCGTGGGAGTCAAAATCTCTTTGTAGGTCTCTAAGAGCTTGCTTTATTAATCTGGGTGCTCCTGTATTGGGTGCATATATATGTTTAGGATAGTTAGCTATTCTTGCTGCATTGATCCCTTTACCATTATGTAATGCCCTTTTGTCTCTTTTGATCTGTGTTGGTTTAAAGTCTGTTTTATTGGAGATTAGTATTTCAACTCTTGCTTTTTTTTTTTCTTTCCATTTGCTTGGTAAACATTCCTCTATCCCTTTATTTTGACCTATGTGTGTCTTTGCCTGTGAGATGAGTCTCCTGGATACAGCACACTGATGGGTCTGGACTATTTAATTTGTTTAATTTGCCAGTCTTTGTCTTTTAATTGGGGCATTTAGCCCATTTATATTTAAGGTTAATATTGTTTTGTGTGAATTTGATTCTGCCATTACGATGCTAGCTGTTTGTTTTGCCTGCTGGTTGATGCAGTTTCTTCATAGTGTCGATATTCTTTACAATTTGTTATGTTTTTGCAGCGGCTGGTACTGGTTGTTCCTTTCCATGTTTAGTGCTTCTTTCAGGAGCTCTTGTAAGGCAGGCCTGGTGGTGACAAAATCTCTCAGCATTTGCTTTTCTGTGAAGGATTTTAATTCTCCTTTGCTTATGAAGCTTAGTTTGGCTGGATATGAAATTCTGGGTTGCAAATTCTTTTCTTTAAAAATGTTGAATATTGGCCCCAACTCTCTTCTGGCCTGTAGGGTTTCTTCAGAGAGATTCGCTGTTAATCTGATGGGCTTCCCTTTTTGGGTAACCCGACCTTTCTCTCTAGCTGCCCTTAACATTTTTTCTTTCATTTCAACCTTGGTGAATCTGAAGATTATGTGGTTTGGAGTTGTTCTTCTCAAGGAGTATCTTTGTGGTGTTCTCTGTATTTCCTGAATTTGAATGTTGGCCTGTCTTGCTAGGTTGGGGAAGTTGTCCTGGATAATATCCTGCAGAGTGTTTTCCAACTTGGTTCCATTATACCCATCACTTTCAGGAACACCAATCAAACGTAGATTTGGTTTTTTCACACAGTCCCATATTTCTTGTAGGTTTTGTTCGTACTTTTTATTCTTTTTTCTCTAATCTTGTCTTCTCACGTTATTTCATTAAGTTGATCTTCAATCACTGATATCCTTTCTTCCACTTGATCAATTCAGCTATTGGTACTTGTGTATGCTTCACGAAGTTCTTATGCTGTGTTTTTTCACTCCATCAGGTCATTTATGTTCTTCTCTAAACTGGTTATTCTAGTTACCAATTCATCTAACCTTTTTTCAAGGTTCTTAGCTTCCTTGCATTGGGTTAGAACATGCTTCTTTAGCTTGAAGGTGTTTGTTATTACCCACCTTCTGAAGCTTACTTCTGTCAATTTTCAAACTCATTCTCTGTCCAGTTTTATTCCATTGCTGGTGAGGAGTTGTGATCCTTTGGAGGAGATGAGGCATTCTAGTTTTCAGAATTTTCAGCCTTTTTGCGCTGGTTTCTTCCCATTTTTGTGGATTTGCCTACCTTTGGCCTTTGATGTTGGTGACCTTCGGATGGGGTCTTTGAGTGGACGTGCTATTCCTTTCTGTTTGTTAGTTTTCCTTCTGACAGTCAGGTCTGTCTGCTGCAGGTCTGCTGGAGCTTGCTGGAGGTCCACTCCAGACCCTGTTGGCCTGGGTATCACCAGCGGAGGCTGCAGAACAGCAAAGATTGCTGCCTGTTCTTTCCTCTGAAAGCTTTGTCCCAGAGGCGCACCTGCCAGATGCCAGCCAGAGCTCTCCTGTATGAGGTGTCTGTCGGTACCTACTGGGAGGTATCTCCCAGTTTGGATACACGGGGGTCAGGGACCCACTTGAGGAGGCAGTCTGACCCTTAGCAGAGATCGAGCACTGTACTGGGAGGTCCGCTGCTCTCTTCAGAGCCATCAGGCAGGGACATTTAATTCTGCTGAAGCTGCGCCCACAGCCGTCCCTTCCCCCAGGTGCTCTGTCCCAGGGAGATGGGGCGGTCTATCTATAAGTCTCTGACTGGGGCTGCTGCCTTTTTTTCAGAGATTCCCTGTCCAGAGAGGAAAAATCTGGCAGTCTGTCTACAGCAGCCTTGCTGAGCTCTGGCTTTTTCTCTTCTTTTCTTTATTTGGTTAGAGACAAAGTCTCACTATGTTGCTCAGGATGGTCTCATTCTTATAGCCTCAAGCAGTCCTCCCACCTTAGCCTCCTGAGTATCTAGAATTACAAGTGCAAGCCATCGCACCCAGCTCAAAATGTATTTCTTTTTTTTTTTTTTTTTTTTTTTTTTGAGACGGAGTCTCGCTCTGTCGCCCAGGCTGGAGTGCAGTGGCGGGATCTCGGCTCACTGCAAGCTCCGCCTCCCGGGTTCACGCCATTCTCCTGCCTCAGCCTCCCAAGTAGCTGGGACTACAGGCGCCCGCCACTACGCCCGGCTAATTTTTTGTATTTTTAGTAGAGACGAGGTTTCACCGTTTTAGCCGGGATGGTCTCGATCTCCTGACCTCGTGATCCGCCCGCCTCGGCCTCCCAAAGTGCTGGGATTACAGGCGTGAGCCACCGCACCCGGCCTCAAAATGTATTTCTTAAATAATGAAACAAGAAAGCTAAAATTATCCCTTGATCCATGGGCTGCAGAATGGATGTTATGTTAGCAGGGATGAGAAGAACATTAATCTCCTTGTGTATCTCAAACAGCGCTCTTAGGTGAACAGATGCATTGCCAATGAGCAGTAACACTTTGAAAAAAAATTTTTTTCTGATCAGTATGTATCAACATTGGGCTTAAAATATTCAGCAAACCATGCTGTCAACAGATGTTTTGTCATCCAGTCTTTGTAGTTCCATTCATAGAGCATTTGTAGAGTGGATTTAGCATAATTCTTAAGGCCCCTAGGATTTTTAGAATGGTAAATGAGCATTGGCTTCCACTTAAGGTCACCAGCTGCGTTATTAGCCCCCAACAAGAGAGTCAGCCTGCGTTTTGAACCTTTGAAACCAGGCATTGAATTAAACCTCTCTATGAAAGTTTTAGATGGAAGCTTCATCCAATAAAAGCCTATTTTATCTACTTGAAGATATGTTGTTTGCTGTAGCCACCTTCATCAATGATCTTAGCAAGATCTTCTGGGTAACTTGCTGCAGCTTCTACATCAGCATTTGCTGCTTCATCTTGCATTTTTATGTTATGGAGATGCCTTCTTTCCTTCAACCTCATGAACTAACCTGTACTAACTTTAAACTTTTCTTCTGCAGTTTACTCACCTCCACAGAACTGCACAGAGTTAGAGTCTTGCTACGGATTAGGCTTTGGCTTAAGGAAATAGTGTGGTTGGTCTGATCTATCCATATCATGCAAACTTCCTCAATATCAGTAATAAGGCTGTTTTACTTTCTTACCATTCTTGTGTTCACTGGAGTAGCACTTTAAATTTCCTTCAAGCTTTTTTCATTTGCATTCCAAACTTGGCTAAGTGTTTGATGTAAGAGTCCCAGGTTTCAGCCTATGTCAGCTTTCAATATGCTTTCCTCACTAAGCTTGATCATTTAGGTTGGCGCATAAGTAATTGTTGTTTTTGCATTGTTGGAATTTGCTGTTTGATATTGGAATAAATTCTTAATAAATGTTGTTGTTATATATCATTTTTTTTTTTTTTTTTTTTTTTTTTGAGACGGAGTCTCGCTCTGTCGCCCAGGCGGGACTGCGGACTGCAGTGGCGCAATCTCGGCTCACTGCAAGCTCCGCTTCCCGGGTTCACGCCATTCTCCTGCCTCAGCCTCCCGAGTAGCTGGGAGTACAGGCGCCCGCCACCGCGCCCGGCTAATTTTTTTTGTATTTTTAGTAGAGACGGGGTTTCACCTTGTTAGCCAGGATGGTCTCGATCTCCTGACCTCATGATCCACCCGCCTCGGCCTCCCAAAGTGCTGGGATTACAGGCGTGAGCCACCGCGCCCGGCCTGTTATATATCATTTTAATGTGCATTTCTTGCTTTACTATTTTGCTAATGACTTATTACTTACTGCTTATTTTATATTTATTTTAGACTATGGAAATGATGTTAAACAAAAAGCAAATTAGAGAGATTTTCTTATTTGAGTTCAAAATGGGTCATAAAGCAGTGGAGACAACTCTCAATGTCAGCAATGCATTTGGTGCAGAAACTGCTGAAGAATATACAGTGCATTGGTGGTTCAAGAAGCTTTGCAAAGGATATGAGAGCCTTGAAGATGAGGAGATAGTGGCCAGCCATGGGAAGTTGAAAACGACCAATTGAGAGCAATTATCCAAACTGATCCTCTTATGACTATATGAGAAATTGCTGAAGAACTCAGTATCAACCATTCTACAGTTGTTTGGCATTTGAAGCAAATTGGAAAGGTGAAAAAGCTCAATAAGTAGGTGCCTCATGAGCTGACTGAAAATAAAAACAAATTGTCATTTTGAAGTGTCACCTTGTCTTATGTTATGCAATAACAACGAATCATTTCATGTCTGGATTGTGAAGTGAAATGAAAAGTTGATTATACATGACAACTGGTGATGACCAGCTCAGTATCTCGACTGAGAAGAAGCTCCAAAGCACTTCCCAAGGCCAAACTTGCACCAAAAAGAGTTCATGGTCACTGTTTCGTGGTCTGCTGCTGGTCTGATCCACTGCAGCTTTCCGAATCCTGGCAAAATCATTTCATCTGAGAAGTATACTCAGCAAATCGATGAGATGCATCGAAAACTGCAATGCCTGCAGCCGGCATTGGTCAACAGAAAGAGCACAATTCTTCTCTGCAACACCCAGCTGCATATCACACAACCAACTCTTCAAGAGTTGAATGAATTGGGCCACCAGCTTTTGCCTCATCCGTTATATTCTCCTAACTTCTTGCCAACTGACTACCACTTCTTCAAGCATCTTGATGATTTTTTGCAGTTTGCAGGGAAAACACTTCCACAATGAGTAGGATGCAGAAAATGCTTTCCAAGACTTCATCGAATCCCAAAGCACAGATTTTTATGCTACAGGAATAAACAAACTTATTTCTCATTGGCAAAAATGTGTTGAATGTAACGGTTCCTATTTTCATTAATAAAGATGTGTTTGAGCCTAGTTATAATGATTTAAAATTCACAGTCCAAAACTGCAATTACTTTTGCAACATTACTTTTGCAGCATCCTTTTTGCACCTAGCTTTTGATTTAAAGTGAAAGAACACTTGAACACTTAGAGGCCATTGTAAGGTTATTAACTGGTCTAATATCTCAAGGAATAAAACGGTTCAAAAAGAGGAAGAGAGTGAGGGGAAGCGCCAGTCTGTGGAGGAGCCAGAACACACACAACGTTTATCAGTTAAGTTCACCATCTTACATAGGTATGGTTTCTGGCACTCCAAAACCATTACAATAGTAACATAAAAGATCACTGATCACAGAGCACCATAACAGATAAAATAATAATGGAAAAGTTGGAAATATTATGAGAATTACCAAAATGTGACACAGAGACACAAAGGGAGCACATGCTGTTGGAAAATTCACACCAGTAGACTTGCTTGATGCAGGGTTGTTACAAACCTTTAATTGTGAAAAGCACAATATTTGCAAATTGCAATAAAGCTAAGCACAGTAAAATGAGGTATGCCTGCAGATACTTGCATTTAAAGGAAATCAGAAACATTTCACCCCCTGATATACTTACCTGACATAGTTTTAGATGGCTACTCAGAGGGCCTGCAGACAGGAATAACCCTACAAAGCTGCCTATTGTAGAGGAGATTTGCACCTGTAGAAAAAATTGCATTGATAACATAAAACACTCAGGCTTTCTCTGAACCCATCTTCTTGTCTGTATCTAGGAAAGATTAACTCAATCATAGGCTCCCATCTATGTTTTCAGGGGGAAGCTCCAACATTTCCTGAGATATTTTCATCTGCAGAACAGAACAGCCTTTGCTTGAAATACTTTCCTTCCTTCACTCCTCTATAATCTATAATGCCACCTCCCTCAGGGTTCAGAGAAACTTGGCCCCACTTCATTGTTCTTTGGGCTCATTGATTTCCCCTGAAAATCATTTACTCCTACAACCCCCATTCCCCATATCTCCAATAAAAAGGATATTTGTGCATCAACTATCTTGCCTTTCTTTTTTTATACTTTGTATGACTCCTGTGAACACATGTGCATGGTAATAAATTTGTATGTCTTTCTTCCTGTTTCCCAACACATTGAATGTCCGATCCAATCCTTGACCCATTTGCCCTTTAATCAATTTCTTCCTCTGTTCTAGCTCATGGAGCTGATTCCCATAAACTATGCTTTCCACCCTTTCCTGTCACTGGTTTCCAACTCTGGACAATGAGAGAAACACTTGAAATAAGAGGGCAGGAAGAAGGGAGAAGCTAGGGTGTTTCCTGCCCTTTCTGTCTGTCTCAAGTAGCATCATCTATACTAGCTACATCTCTTCTTTGGCTCTGCCTTCCCCAGACAGGCCCATTGTGCTCCCAGCTTCCACCAGGTGACTCTGGCCCCGGCCTCTGTTAATACCCCCAGTTTCTTTTCATCACCAATTTAGAAATGTTTCCATCTTTCTTCAATTGCTAATCTGTGGATTGCTTCACTACTCCTGGGTAGCTTCTGAGCAACTCTATCATCTGTGTACCAATTCCTGGTACCAAATTTTTTCTGTTTTAAATACTAATAGTGGCTTGTCTTTTTCTGGTTGGGTCCTGACTGATAAAGTGTCCTATGAAATTACTGGTGATATGAGTAAAGAAGGAAAATTTTTCAATTTAATATTAGGAATATTTAAAAATATGTATATATGCTCTCCTTCATATATGAAAATAAGCAACACAAATATAGGACATCTTCTTTTCTTTTCTTTAGAAGAGATGTATTAAGTTAGTTTAATTTTCACATCATTACCTTGTAACCAATAGTTCAGGATCCTGAGGTAGCTGGCTATAGTTAGTGATGTAGTCTGTAGGCATAAATGGAATGGAGTTAACTGGATGATAAGGGAATCAAAAGTATTACCTCAAGCCTATCAACAACATGTTTGAATCAAATGAACTGATTAACTACAAAAGCTCCAATAAGACATATTGTAGCAGTATACATTTGACAGTAAATGGCTGAGGATCAACTTATACAGCAATCACATTTTTAAAATCACAGTGTAAAATCTCATTCAATTAGAAGAGCTGTTTAACTTATTATGTAATGTAGCAAATCAGCTAACTTTTATTTTGCTCCCTCTTGCTTGATTCAGCAAGACTTTAAAGAAACACACAAACCAGAAGAAACTCAACTAGCTTTGATTTGCTATACAAAATATTCACTAGGTGTTGGAAAATACTTATATACATGTGGTTCTTAATCTTGCCACTATGTGGCAAAAACACTGGAAGGTAATAACTTTAGTTGAAAAAGGGGTTATTGGAGGGTTTTTTCATATTTAGACTTTAATTTTTAAACAAAAGTGCCGAGGACTGTAAGTTGTCAGGAATCTCTATTTACATATTATGTAAATGTTTTCAATATAACTGGATGATGTAGGGAATTTTAAATTTTCCCCCTAAAGTTTTGATAATTTGAGTCTATACAACAAACTGATAAGAGATGAATTTAAGGGAAAAGGGCCATACATATTTTATTACATGCATGTGTGTTCACATGAGTCATACAAAATAGAAAAACTCAAAGAAATGCAATATGGTTGATGTTTTTATACCATCTTGAGGTTACTGAAAGAAAGAAACGGGGACTCAGAACATGACAGGTTATGGTGATCAGATAAGTTTTGGGAAGGAGAGAAGGGGAAGGGTCTGACTAGCAAAGCAGTCTTGTTATGCAGATGAAATCTCACAGGTAGCAGTCCTCAGAAAGAATAGATGGTAGCCAGTGGTAATTGTTCTTGCCAGACATTTAAAGGTGTCATACTCTCAGTGAAAAGGTGTCATACTCTCAGTTAATCTTTTCTAGGTCCAGACATCTGCAGGTTGGGGGGATGTTCAGATACAGGCTGTTTGCATCTGCTGTTTACTTCACTTCATTTCCTCTGCAGAGGCAAGTATCCTTTACAAACATCAACTTTTCAGCTATTCTTGTATTTCCAGCTCTCCTGAATAGTCATATTAAAATATATGCAAGATGTATATTTTGGGGTTATTTTGATTTCATCTCCCTTCTGAAACTTTACTTTTGGAAAAATTCATATGTTAAAAACCGAGAGGATAGCTTTGGAGAGATTTGGGTTAGAGGTTTTAGGTAAGAGATTAAGTGAAAGGGGAAGAAAACATGAAATTAGTAGAAAGAGCAAATTTAAATATATTACCTCATGTCTTCTTGAATCATTCTCTTAGTACTGAAAATGGGTCTATTTTGTTAAACAGTTGAATCTTATTTCAGGAGGTGCTGTTATAGACAGGTTCTCATCAAAGTTAGGATTCCATATATGATGCAGGCAAACAGGTCTTTAATATGAGGCATTTCTACAGATACAGAAAAAAAGCAAAGGTTAATATCTGGAGTAGTCTATGAACTACTCTAGGAAAACTATTCTAGAGTGTCTGAAGCATCTTCAGTTGAAGTGGCAATCTAACAGAATTTTCTGGATTGTAGTTTGAATTAGATATTCAAGTGAACTTTCTGAGTTGTCCATACAGCAACAGACATTAAGACTTGTTATATATGAGTTGCTGTAGTGATTTATCCCAAAGTTTACAAGTTGCCTAGCCTCAGTTTGCAGTGCTTCAAGAAGAGCAGTTTTAATTTCTAGTGATTTTAAGTCAGAATGGTGGGAGAAAATTAGAAATGTTAGTCTAAAGAGCCACAGACAGATATTTGAGGAACTGAAGTTAAGCATATAGTCCAGATTGCAGGTAAACAGCAAAATCTCAAGCATTGCTCAGGATTAGAATTTAATAACAAATGTACTATAGGTTTTCTTCTGAAACATAATTTTTCTCTCTCTAGTCCCCTGCTTCTACTAAAAACAAATCATAATAAGGCAAATTTATTTCTTAAATATTTTGGTCTTAAACTTGGTCTGATTTTTGCACAAAGTACAGCAAAAATAGTAAGTGGCCATGTAGTCTCTTTTTAACTTGGCTTAATGGGAACTTTCTCATAAGAGGTTTCAGATTAGATTTTTAAAAACCTCTGAAGGTTTATGAGCTAACCTAAAGACAATGTCTGTAATATCTCTACAAATTGGGTGAGTTATTCTCTTCTCAAGGACCCCAAAATATTTTGAGGTTCCTAAGCCTATTAGAAAGTGACATTTTTTTACTTACCTCAAGATCAGGAACTCTGTAAGGAAACTGTAAACAAGGTACCAGACCAGTCCTTTTCCAAATCTATTGGCTTTAAAGTCAACCTCAATTTCTTAAAGCAGTGTGGTCATATCTGAATATGACATGCCAGTCAAAGCTGTAGTAAAATAACTATCATTTCTAATTGTGTCCTGATACAAAAAAAATCTGATTTTTATTGAACTTCTACAAATGACTATATTGCCATAAAATAAGAACACTCAAAAATAATTTTCAAATTCTGGAGAGCTCAGATAGAAAGAAAGGTAAATGTTTCCATTTTTTCTTATAAAAGTATACTTTATTCAATTTCTATAAGCTATAAATAACCTAAAATAATAAAGTTTTCTTAACTCTGGAAAACAAAACATAAAAAGAAGCAATAATATTTCAAACAAAAAGTCATAAAAATTATTTTAGTCCTCTATCATTTTTCTACCATGTAATTAATTACCATTCTGCTTATGAAACTCATAAAAACTATTTTATATATCCAATTTTTTTCCATTGGAGTTTTTGAAATTTTTACCTAGTCAAGTTGAATAATTTCAAAGTTATAAGCAGAGGTCTGTATTTGAGAGTATCTATCAATCAGGGTTGTTTATCCTTTCCATGAATCTCCTTGAAGACACAACACTGTAGAATTTGCAAAGTGCTTTTAGAAAAATAGCTTTCAAATAAAGCTATTTAATATGGTCAACAAAACTTAAAATGGTCATGGCTAAAGATACAATTGACAACACACAAAAGAAACTACCATCAGAGTGAACAGGCAACCTACAGAATGGGAGAAAATTTTTGCAACCTACTCATCTGACAAAGGGCTAATATCCAGAATCTACAATGAACTCAAACAAATTTACAAGAAAAAAACAAACAACCCCATCAAAAAGTGGGCGAAGGACATGAACAGACACTTCTCAAAAGAAGACATTTATGTAGCCAAAAAACACATGAAAAAATGCTCACCATCACTTGCCATCAGAGAAATGCAAATCAAAACCACAATGAGATACCATCTCACACCAGTTAGAATTGCGATCATTAAAAAGTCAGGAAACAACAGGTGCTGGAGAGGATGTGGAGAAATAGGAATACTTTTACACTGTTGGTGGGACTGTAAACTAGTTCATCCCTTGTGGAAGTCAGTGTGGCTATTCTTCAGGGATCTAGAACTAGAAATACCATTTGACCCAGCCATCCCATTACTGGGTATATACCCAAAGGACTATAAATCATGCTGCTATAAAGACACGTGCACACGTATGTTTATTGCGGCACTATTCACAATAGCAAATACTTGGAACCAACCCAAATGTCCAACAATGATAGACTGGACAAACCACATTTCCATCTGGCCATATCCTCTATGGTCTCAGCTTCTTAGCTGATGTTCTGCAAGCAAAGGCCAAAAATCTCATGTGTCTCATTACCAGAAGCAGTTGGTAAGACAGAAAATCAAGAGTTGGCCATGGAAGGGAAAGGAATCAATAATGAGTGGGTATCCTAAAAAGTCAATAGTTGCACAAATATCAAACCAATTTTTATAAATGTTTCTTCTCCAGAGTTAAAGGACTTTTATTTCTAAGGGACTAGTTCCCTTTCCAGGAACTGAACACCAGGGCATGGTGATGAATGCATGGAATTTTAATTCCTTGACTAGAAGACAATATGGCCTTCATTGCAAATCCCACAGGGGATCCAAAGCAGGCAGTTCCAGTGTATGAATAATTTTGCTTTCTTTTAAAGCTGATTGCTGTTTTCTTTTAAAAACAATCTGTCAAGGGAGTTTCTAAGGCCATACTTATTTTTTAAGTCTTTTCCTAGGTACCATTAACATGGCTGGCTGTTTAAGACAAGAGTGCTCTAAAAAGCTTTCCTTTAAATATAGCCAATTCATTCATTTACTAAGTGAACTAGTTCACGTATGTTTTTGTCCTGTTAATCCAATTTGGGGAAAGAAAAAAGGCAAGGGCTCTTACCACCCTCATTTGACCTGGGGTCCCAGGCAGACATCTGGGAGAACTGACTTGGTAAAAAAAAAAAATTCTTATTTTCTTTGTTGGCTTTGTGTCAGTTGTCCCAAGATCCCGTTTGTACGCTCCAGAATAAAGTTTCCTACAGTGGGTAATATTAACTAGTAAATTTGTTAACCTATTCACTGCATCAAAACTGTAGAGAAGTTTAAATTTTCCCCCTGAAGAGTGAATAATTTGAGTCTGTGAAACAAACCGATAATAGACAGATTAAAGGGGAAAAAAGGCATACGAATTTTATTACATGTACTTGTTTGCACGGGAATTATATGAAGTATAAAAACTTAAAGAAAGGTAACATAGTTGATGCTTTTATATCATCTTGAAATTATAGAAAGAACAGGGACTTGGAATGTGACAGATTATGGGGGCAAAATGGGTTATGAAAGGGAGAGAAAAGAAAGACTTGGCTAGCAAAGGTGGTCTTACCATGCAATGAAAACCTTGAAGGTAGAAGCCATCAGAGAGAATAGATGCTAAATGTTTTTGTCAGACCTTTAAAGGCATCAGACGCTCAGTAAATCTTTCCTAGATTCAGACAAGGGGTGGTGTGGTTCAGAGAGAGCCTGTTTGCATCTGTTGCACACTTCACTTTATTTCTTCTACAGATGCAAATCTCCACAAAAGTCAGCTTTTCAATTATTCTTGTATTTCTATCTTCACTGAAATGCCATCTTGAAATACATCAAATAAGTATATTATAGGGTTTAATATTTTGGTTTCCTGCAGTGGGTAATATTAACTAGTAAAAAGGAGAGATATTCATTAAAAATATTAAGTATATGACTATTCAATTAGAAACAGGTGTCCTTCCTAAATCCAAACGTTCAGAGAAAGTAGTAGGAAGAATATCATATCATAGTCAGAAGACCTGGGTTTGAGTCTTAATTCTGCTTTATTAGTTACATGAGTTGGGCAAAACCTTTTGGAATAGTACCAGTGTCACCAAGACAACAGGATGGTTATAGAAAGGCAGAAAAACAATGTAAACAAACATTTTATAAGCATAAATAATAATAGTTATTCTTCTATATACATTCAGTGTCTCTAAGCAGATCCAAAGATTTGCCAAGTTTTAATGAGATGGAATGTGGGTTGTTTTATCTTAATTTATTTGTAATATGCCTAAAAGTAGATATATGGAAGCTTAAGGATTTATCCATCATATTCTTTTGTATTCTGAGGATCACCCTTTATGAGAATGAATGGAATACATGAATATGTCTACTTTCATTACCTTAGTCTATTTAGACCATTTTAAAATAATTATGAAAGTGACTTTACAAGAAGAGCATAATTAATTTCACATCCGGGAGATAATCCACTGTGATGAAAAATTATCAAAATCAGAAAACAATGTTTATTTTCTCCCTGTGACAATGTGAGAATTGTTAAGTGAGAATATTTCTTCTTTTACTTCTTTGTATTTGTTTCTATTCTTTGGTAAACATAATAATGTTGAGGAAATATTTTGTTAATTTATTGGGTACATTATTTATTTCTTATTTGGAAGCCTTGGAGCTGAATTCAGGCTTCTCTAAATGGCATACATATTTAACTTTATAATTGCAAAATGTTCCCTCTTTTAAACAGTATATTGTAAATATGAAAATACGGTTTATACTTCTCTCAATATACTTTCAACAAAAACATTAGATTTCCTGCCTTGTTAGTGAGTATATTTAAATATTTCATAAGTTTTCACAAGCACTCTTGAAAAATGGTCTACTTTTTTATAATAATATTGATAATTTTGTTAATATTGCTAGCATACAAATTGAGTTATATTTTTAGTAAAGTAAAATAGGTATAGTTGGAATTATCCTTATTTCTAAATGCTACTTATTTTTTAACAGTATTCATGCATATGTTTTCAAAAGCTAAATGACACAAAAAAGCTTAAAACCAAAACCATTTCCTCATTTTGTCGGCGGGGGGTGATCAGGAGTGGTGGGTTTTCCTAGTGGGGGCCACTTTGAATATTCACATTTCTAAGTCATATACTAATGCTCTAATTTCAAATATCTCCATTCTATACATTGTTTGCTGTCTTCCAGTGTGCAACTTGAGGATTTTGTTTCTTTGTATTATTATAATGCCTTTGCATCTTTCCCTAGTATCTTGATTTTTGATTAATTGAATTTTTGCACTGTTGATTGGGACTATGTAAATATTGTTAACTGCTGAGCCAAACATATTATTTTTATTAAATATTATTCTTTACATACTTTTTTCTGGGCATTTACCTCCTTTTTGCATTCCTATTTTTTGTGTACTCAATTTTAATTTTATTTGTACATTTTCCATTAGCATCTGTAATACAGTTTTCTATGGGGTTTAGCCAATTATCAGTCAGAGTTGTTCATTAGGCCATGCTCCCGGATTCTTTCTGTACTGGTCTAGACCAGTTGCTCTCTATACCTGTTTTACACCTTTGCTTGGCTTTTCATGTTCTTGGGAATTCCCTTTGCCTTGCTCTTATATTGAGTCCCTAGTTTTCTGGATTCCATTATAACTCTTTCTTGGTTTTATCTCTAGATTTCCAGTAGCTTCCATTGAAAAGGTGAGGAGGTAACTGTTTAGAGGTAGTTCATGCCCAAAAGTATTTTTATTTTATCTTTGCATTTGATTAACAGTTTGTCTGTAAAAATTTGGGCTAAATACCATTTCCTGTCAGAGTTTTCTTTATCCCTAGTGCTGTGAAATTTCAGAATAGGCTGTGATATCAGTTTTTTTCTACTGATGCTAAAAATGTCTTTTCAATTTGTAGACATTGCTAAAGGATTTTAGCACAGGGTAATTTCTTGTATAATTTTTTGATCATTTTTCTATATTTCTGACAATGTATTTTCTTTCAGGAACTCCTGTTAGGCAACTGTTAAATCTCTTGAAAAATTCTCTTCATTCTTGCAGGCTTTTGTTTCTGTTTTGTTTTCCATTTCTTTGTTTTTATTCTGCTTTTTTGTGAGATTTTCTCAAAATGGTCTAAGCCTTTGTCTTCTAATCCTTCTAATGAGTTTTAAATGTATTTCATCTATTTAAAAAACATTTCATTTTGAATAACATCCCATTTTTGCTGCATAGATGTAATATTTAATATTTTGGGAAGTTAATTTAAATTTTTGACAAATTTCTCCTGTTCACTCTATTGTTTCAATTGTCTCATATTTCCGCATTTTTTGTTAATTTTTGTGTCTGTCTCATTCAGGCTTTTTCCTCAAATGTTTGTTATATTTGGGTGTCTGTGAGTGAGCACCGAGAAGCCAGATGGAGATTGTGTGCATGGGAAAAGCTGTGTACTAGGACCTTCATGAAAGTGATGTTAGCGAAATTTGACAAATTTTATCCTATTGGAAATTATCTAATGTCAGTATCTATGTTTCTTTCTCTGGGATTTTTTGGTTTCTTCAGAAAGTGCTTCTCCATTCTTCTGTTTTAGGGTCAGTCTGGCTAGGGAAGGTGGTAGGGTCTCAGCATTAAGTATGTAGTTATCCATTGATAACTTGTGTTTTTAGGCCTGAGCCTTGCAACTGTCTCAGCTACGCTTAGTATCCGAGGCTGTCACCTATTTTCAATTCATCCAAGAAGAACCTACCAGGTCTCCTTTGTACAGAGAAGAAGTGACTACCTGGTTAGTGGGATCAGGCAGAGAACTGGGAACCCTTTGAGATTATTTCTGCTCCTTTTACCTCTGTATCTTACTCTCCCCTGTGGTATCTAACATTCCCATCAACTTTGCCTTTTGTAGGTTCCGAATGGTCACTGGTGTGCCTCTTTCTTCAGGCACTTGATTTTCACCTCCCTGTGCTCTTCCACTGAAGTTCTCTCATAATTCATCTTCCAAAATTTCCTGACATTTCATGTTGACTCCTCTCCTATTAACTCACTCTTGAGGGTTTACATATGTTTTAGTCATTTATTTTCATCTTTTTGCTGTGAGGGTGAGAAAGATAGATGTTTACTAATTCCACAGAAAGTCTACTTCTATATTTATAAAACTCCAATTTTAAATCTTTAAGCATAAAAATGGAGATAATCTCCTCAAACACAAGAATATCTTTTAAAAACCACATTTTAAGCTTCTCACCTAGCTCAAAAATATTTTAAACATGCACATGAGAACATCTTTATTTTAAAATGTGGCCTGCTAGCTTATCCTGAGGTGTTGAAATAAGGCTATGGGACAAAACATACTAACAGAAGTTGGTAACCAACGATTGTAGCCATAGTTTACATTTAAAAAAGTATGGATCACTAAAGCATTGATTTTAAAAAGTCAAATTGTTTTCAGCACAGGTTGTAGCTTCTTCTTTAACAGATAAAATATTGCATGAACTTTAGTCTTCTGATGTCAAAATCAGTGTTAAATTGCTCCAACTTAGTTCAATAACAGCATTTAGTCTTGGGTGATTTTATCTAGCTCTCACTGTGAATTGGCCTCCTGAGCCTCTGACTTTGTTTCTTTTCGGTCCTACCATTCAGTTTAGATGGTACAAAGACTTCATTCCAGTGTTGAAGTGTGAAGGTGTGAGATAAAGATCAAATTACCTGTACAAGAAAGAGAAATGGATGACTTATCATGTTTTCACATTCTTAAGATTTCTAGGTGAAACTTCCTACCCATAAATGTCAGTTAAATAAATGTCTGAAACTGCATGACTTTCTTTTGCTAAAAATGACATTAGAATTGCTATGACTTATTTTGCCTGTAGGACTAAATTACAGACAAAGCCCTAGAATTTTTTCTGCTATTACTTTTATACTTTTAGAAGTGAGATTTATTTAATTAAAATTATTGGAAAAGGTTTACAAGGACAGTAGCCATATAAATAGTGAGGATGTTATAAATAATCTCTGTTACAAAGATTTTATTTCAGAAACTAATTATTCAATTTTTTAAGTGGCTTTCTCTCCTTGCCATGAAGACATGGCTTATATAATTTTCTGTGATGAGTTTTAAGGCAATGTTTAAAAAAAAAAAAAAGAGGTAACAGTCATATATTGTTGCTTCTCTGACAACTCATTTCACAGCAAGTGAAGGCCAGTACATCTTAGCGGATAAGAAATACACATGTAAAAGAAAAAACACATTTAAAAAATTTAAAAACCAAATCCTACATTTATAGTTATAAAGATGAGCTCTCAGGGTACATATTTTGTACAATCTGTATCTCTGTCAGCAAATGTTTTCAACCCTGTCAGAGAAGTGAATGCTGCTAATTTAATACAAGAAAACACTCGCCGTGATTGGTGCCTGAAATATCTACTCCAATTCTTCAAATGCATTGCATGTGTGCTCATTACACCAAGAATGAGAGGGAGCATATCTAGGTGAACCCCACACCTTGACTCACATCACCCCAAGATTTTGCCATGGGATAATCTTGAGACCATGTCCAAAACACAGATGTTTTATTTTCCTGGATCTCTCACTGATGAATCATAATCATTAAGGAAATGATACACTGTTCTTGATCTTAAATTGCATTCCATAGTCTGAGTGTGTAAATCACAGAATCTGCTGTTCCACAGTGTCTGATTGATAAATTCAGATCTTGGCATAGTGGGCTGTGCTCTAGCAAGGTTTACCTGCTATTCAAACCTATCACGAAAAGCTGAAAGTACTGACTCACATGCCTAAGGCCCAAAATAAATTAGGACGGGCCCACAAAAGGGTGAGACAGCAAAACTAATGATGAGAAGGCAGGGAGCCCACAAAAAAGGGTAGTATACTCTACTTCCCCTTCATACTCTCTTTTGATTAGTTTTTTTATCGGGCTCTTGGGAACAAATCCTGGAGTGTATGTGCAACTGGAGGATTATTGTGCTCTGCAGTCCAGCGTTATGGGAGCAGTAGGTGGGGATTCTTAAATGTGGATGGGAATAATACAAACTTTGCAATCTGTATAAAAACTTTGTAAGTCTACAGAGTTTTGAAGACTCTGTACAGTATGATTTCAGCAGGAGTGCATGATTATAGCCTAGAAATCTAAGTTAGACTAAATAACCTCTGAAGTTAAGGTTAGCAGTTTGAATTTGTGTTTTGTTTTTTCCTCAACATCTATCTTAAAGGTAATTCAGTTGGTATTTTTGAATGGGTTTTCTATAAGACATAATTTCTTTATCGAATTGGATAATGTAAACAAAGGTGCAAACATTATGGCTTTCTCAAAATTTCTAACAATTTTAAGTTTGTATCAATTATATAATTTTGAATGAAAATAATGCATCTGCAGATGGTGCTAAATTGCATGAAATTAATTACTTCATATACAAGTTTTCAGTAATTAACTCCAGTGAGGCCTGTAAAAATCCATTATGAGCAGAATTACATGCTTCTTAGCCTCTTCTCTTCTAATCTGAAAATTGTTTTGTTTTTGTTTTTTTTTTTTTCACTTTTGAGAACTGGTTAAAGTGACATGGAATAGTAAAGGTCATTTCAGGGAAATGTATGATGCCCTTGGGATGTAAAAGAACCAAGTTCTTAGATTATGGTGAGTTCCTGCAGTTCTCACACCTTGTAGGTTTTGATTTAAAGGGCGATTATCTCTCAGAGATGGGATGGGAAAGTCAATATTGGCAGTGCCAGTGCTGCTGCCTTGCATATGTTGTCCAGTCATGACTGGACATAGATTGACAGTGGGATTTGCCCAAGGTCTCAGTCCTTGGCCTTAGCGCTTCTATGGGATGTCCATTTCCCTCTTATTTTCTGTGGTCTTTATAAAAGAATGTTTGCAATACAAAAATTTCATTCATGCAGTTGAATATTTTGAGTGTAATATTAAATATATTTTGTCAAAACCAATAAAGTGTCTGCACTCACTGGGAGGCTACTGCTATTGGATAATGAAGAAACAGGAAAATTTCAGACTTTTAATTCAGACTGATAATATTTAATAATGAGAATTTTTACTAGGCATGTAGGTTCTATTTTGATTCATGTGCCTTCAAATCTTTATGAAGTTTGGGAATTGTGAAAGCTTCTAAGCCACTCTCCTTTCAGCCACATGGGATAAGGCTGTCTCTGTTATGCAATCTGATGCTAGATTTAGATAATGTTTAAATAAAGGCATTTGGTTTATCACTTATTCATGTGAATAAAATTAATAACTGTCTTAATAGATAAAAGAACTTTAAATATAAGCTTGGAAGACCCTTAAAAACTAACGGCTTTTCATAAGATACAATGCACAACCTTTTAAGCATCAATATTCTATTTATTTATGCACGCATACAATGGTGACTCTCCATCTCGGCCATACACAAAATTAACTACGGGGCTTCTAAGATAAATTTGATGCTTGGGCCTCACCCTAAAAAAAGGGCATGACACACACATCTACATGCACACTTAACCACTCATACAGTTGTTTCTAAGCTGTCTCTTGGCTAGCTTGCTTATAGAAACCTATGCCAAATGATTGGGGAAAAGTTTCTTACTTCTTTTGCTTTATATATATAACCTTCATTCCAGGCTCCATGAGATATCCCATGGCTGGGGACAGATTAGGATGAATTACAGAAAGAATTCAAATATTACCATTAAGTAATATTCAGTTTCTGACATTCCAAAAATATAACTTATCAATAAAACAATACATTATATGCAAAACTCTTATCTTGATAAGGATTCTATAAATTATTTTAACTCCATTTTAAGGGACAGTTGTAGCAGTTGACACCTTATAGTTTTAGATAAAATAGGTACAGATGAGAAGAAGAAGGAAAAGTCTTGTCTTTATGACCCTGAGAAAATTGTGAGCAGAGGAGAAAGAGTGATTAGCAGTGCAAAATGAGTTAATGTGTAAAACTTTGCTTCTCCAAGCTTTGTTCCTCAATAGAAGATACTTTTTGTCCTCATGTTCCCTATTTGGGACACTAAGAAGAGGCCACTTTGCAATCCAATGATTTGGACCACAACAACAATGAATAAAGTCAGCATCTCACAAAGGTTGGAAAGATAGAGGTCTTAAAGGGGAATGTTCCTGAGCTTCTCTTTGAGCAGACTCAGAAGTAACTGCAGGCTGACGGGCAAACTGGTCAGAGGAGGGAACATGTTGGTTCAGAGTAAACTTATAGGGTGGCATAGAGGAGACACCTTGTGCTGAGACTGAATGGGAGTCAAAACTAGATGACAAAAACCAAGGTGAAGTCAAGCAGACATAATAGACATCTACAGAACTCTCCACCCCAAATCAACAGAATATACATTCTTCTCAGCACCACACCAAACCTATTACAAAACTGATCACACAGTTGGAAGTAAAGCACTCCTCAGCAAATGTAAAAGAACAGAAATTATAACAAACTGTCTCTCAGACCACAGTGCAATCAAACTAGAACTCGGGATTAACAAACTCACTCAAAACTGCTCAGCTACATGGAAATTGAACAACCTGCTCCTGAATGATTACTGGGTGCATAACGAAATGAAGGCAGAAATAAAGATGCTCTTTGAAACCAACAAGAAAAAAGACACAACATACCAGAATCTCTGGGACACATTCAAAGCAGTGTGTAGAGGGAAATTTATAGCACTAAATGCCCACAAGAGAAAGCAGGAAAGACCTAAAATTGACATCCTAACATCACAATGAAAAGAACTAGAGAAGTAAGAGCAAACACATTCAAAAGCTAGCAGAAGGCAAGAAATAAGTAAGATCAGAGCAGAACTGAAGGAAATAGAGACACAAAAAACCCTTCAAAAAATCAATGAATCTAGGAGCTGGTTTTCTGAAAAGATCAACAAAATTGATAGACTGCTAGCAAGACTAATAAAGAAGAAAAGAGAGAAGAATCAAAGAGGCGGAATACAAAATGATAAAGGGGATATCACCACCAATGCCACAGAAATACAAACTACCATCAGAGAATACTATAAACTCCTCTATGCAAATAAACTAGAAAATCTAGAAGAAATGGATAAATTCCTCGACACATACATCCTCCCAAGACTAAACCAGGAAGAAGTTGAATCTCTGAATAGACCAATAGCAGGATCTGAAATTGAGGCAATAATCCATAGCTTACCAACCAAAAAAAGTCCAGAACCAGATGGATTCACAGCCGAATTCTCCCAGAGGTACAAGGAGGAACTGGTACCATGTCTTCTGAAACTATTCCAATCAATAGAAAAAGAGGGAATCCTCCTTAACTCATTTTATGAGGCCAGCATCATCCTGATACCAAAGCCTGTCAGAGACACTATAAAAAAAGAGAATTTTAGAATAATATCCTTGATGAACATCAATGCAAAAATCCTCAACAAAATACTGGCAAACCAAATCCAGCAACACATCCAAAAGCTTATCCACCATGATCAAGTGGGCTTCATCCCTGGGATGCAAGGCTGGTTCAACATATGCAAATCAATAAACATAATCCAGAATATAAACAGAATCAAAGACAAAAACCACATGGTTATCTCAATAGATGCAGAAAAGTCCTTTGACAAAATTCAACAACCATTCAGGCTAAAAACTCTCAATAAATTAGGTATTGATGGGACATATCTCAAAATCATGAGAGCTATCTATGACAAACCCACAGCCAATATCATCATGAATAGGCCAAAACTGGAAGCATTCCCTTTGAAAACTGGCACAAGACAGGGTTGCCCTCTCTCACCACTCCTATTCAACATAGTGTTGGAAGTTCTGGCCAGGACAATCAGGCAGGAGAAGGAAATAAAGGGCATTCAATTAGGAAAAGAGGAAGTCAAATTGTCCCTGTTTGCAGAAGACATGATTGTATATCTAGAAAACCCCATCATCTCAGCCCAAAATCTCTTTAAGCTGATAGACAACTTCACCAAAGTCTCAGGATACAAAATCAATGTGCAAAAATCGCAAGCATTCTTATACACCAATAACAGACAAACAGAGAGCCAAATCATGAGTGAACTCCCATTCACAATTGCTTCAAAGAGAATAAAATACCTACAAATCCAACTTACAAGGGATGTGAAGGACCTCTTCAAGGAGAACTACAAACCACTGTTCAATGAAATAAAAGAGGATACAAACAAATGGAAGAACATTCCATGCTCATGGGTAGGAAAAATCAATATTGTGAAAATGGCAATACTGCCCAAGGTAATTTATACTTTCAATGCCATCCTCATCAAGCTACCAATGACTTTCTTCACAGAATTGGAAAAAACTACTTTAAAGTTCATATGGAACCAAAAAACAGCCCGCATTTCCAATCAATCCTAAGCCAAAAGAACAAAGCCAGTGGCATCATGCTACCTGACTTCAAACTATAATACAAGGCTACAGTAACCAAAACAGCATGGTACTGGTACCAAAAAAGATATATAGACCAATGGAACAGAACAGAGCCCTCAGAAATAATGCCACATATCTACAACTATCTGATCTTTGGCAAACCTGATAAAAACAAGAAATGGGGAAAGGATTCCCTATTTAATAAATGGTGCTGGGAAAACTGGCTAGCCATATGTAGAAAGCTGAAACTAGATTCCCTTCCTTACACCTTATACAAAAATTAATTCAAGATGGATTAAAGACTTACATGTTCAATGTAAAACCATAAAAACCCTAGAAGAATAAATAGGCAATACCATTCAGGACATAGACATTAGCAAGGACTTCAAGTCTAAGAGACCAAAAGCAATGGCAACAAAAGCCAAAATTGACAAATGGTATCTAATTAAACTAAAGAGCTTCTGCATAGCAAAAGAAACCACCATCAGAGTGAACAGGCAACCTACAGAATGGGAGAAAATTTTTGCAACCTACTCATCTGACAAAGGGCTAATATCCAGAATCTACAATGAACTCAAACAAACTTACAAGAAAAAAACAACCCCACCAACAAGTGGGTGAAGGATATGAACAGACAGTTCTCAAAAGAAGACATTTAGGTGTGGAGCCAAGATGGCCGAATAGGAACACCTCTGGTCTACAGCTCCCAGCGTGAGGTGACACAGAAGATGGGTGATTTCTGCATTTCCATCTGAGGTACCGGGTTCATCTCAGTAGGGAGTGCCTGACAGTCGGTGCAGGACAGTGGGTGCAGCACACCGTGCATGAGCCGAAGCAGGGTGGGGCATTGCCTCACTCGGGAAGGGCAAGGGGTCAGGGAGTTCCCTTTCCTAGTCAAAGAAAGGGGTGACAGACAGCACCTGGAAAATTGGGTCACTCCCACCCTAATACTGCGCTTTTCCAACGGGCTAAAAAATGGCACACCAGAAGATTATATCTTGCACCTGGCTTGGAGGGTCCTATGCCCACAGAGTCTCACTGATTGCTAGCACAGCAGTCTGAGATCAAACTGCAAGGTGACAGCGAGGCTGGGGGAGGGGTGCCTGCCATTGCCAAGGCTTGATTAGTTAAACAACGCAGCCAGAAAGCTCCAACTGGGTGGAGCCCACCACAGCTCAAGGAGGCCTGTCTGCCTCTGTAGTCTCCACCTCTGGGGTCAGGGCACAGACAAACAAAAAGACAGCAGTAACCTCTGCAGACTAAAATGTCCCTGTCTGACAACTTTGAAGAGACTAGTGGTTCTCCCAGCACACAGCTGGAGATCTGAGAATGGGCAGACTGTCTCCACAAGTGGGTCCCTGACCCCCAAGAAGCCTAACTGGGAGGCACCCCCCAGTAGGGGCAGACTGACACCTCACACAGCTGGGTACTCCTCTGAGGCAAAACTTCCAGTGGAACGATAAGGCAGCAGCATTCGAAGATCACCAATATCCTCTGTTCTACAGCCACCGCTGTTCTACAGCCACTGCTGTTCTACAGCCACCACTGTTCTGCAGCCACCGCTGTTGATACCCAGGCAAACAGGGTCTGGAGTGGACCTCTAGCAAACTCCAACAGACCTGCAGCTGAGGGTCCTGTTTCTTGAAGGAAAACCAACAAACAGAAAGGACATCTACACCAAAAACCCATCTGTACATCACCATCATCAAAGACCAAAAGTAGATAAAACCACAAAGATGGGGAAAAAACAAAGCAGAAAAACTGGAAACTTTAAAAAGCAGAGTGCCTCTCCTCCTCCAAAGTAATGCAGCTCCTCACCAGCAATGGAACAAAGCTGGATGGAGAATGACTTTGATGACTTGAGAGAAGAAGGCTTCAGACGATCAAACTACTCCGAGCTACAGGTGGAAATTCAAACCAAAGGCAAAGAAGTTAAAAACTTTGAAAAAAATTAGACTAATTGATACCTAGAATAATGAATGCAGAGAAGTCCTTAAAGGAGCTGATGGAGCTGAAAGCCAAGGCTTGAGAACAACATGAAGAATGCAGAAGCCTCAGGAGCTGATGCGATCAATTGGAAGAAAGGGTATCAGTGATGGAAGACAAAATGAATGAAATGAAGCAAGAAGGGAAGTTTAGAGAAAACAGAATAAAAAGAAATGAACAAAGCCTCCAAGAAATATGGGACTATGTGAAAAGAACAAATCTACGTCTGATTGGTGTACCTGAAAGTGATTGGGAGAATGGAACCAAGTTGGAAAACACTCTGCAGGATATTATCCAGGAGAACTTCCCCAATCTAGCAAGGTAAGCCAAAATTCAGATTCAGGAAATACAGAGAATACCAAAAAGATACTCCTCGAGAAGAGCAACTCCAAGACACAAAATTGTGAGATTCACCAAAGTTGAAATGAAGGAAAAAATATTAAGGGCAGCCACAGAGAAAGGTCGGGTTACCCACAAAAGGAAGCCCATCAGACTAACAGCGTATCTTTCAGCAGAAACTCTACAAGCCAGAAGACGGTGGGGGCCAATACTCAACATTCTTAAAGAAAATAATTTTCAAACCAGAATTTCACATCAAGCCAACCTAAGCTTCCTAAGTGAAGGAGAAATAAAATCCTTTACAGACAGGCAAATGCTGAGAGATTTTGTCACCACCAGGCCTGCCCTAAAAGAGCTCCTGAAGGAAGCACTAAACATGGAAAGGAACAACCAGTACCAGCCACTGCAAAAGAATGCCAAATTGTAAAGACCATCAAGGGTAGGAAGAAACTGCATCAACTAACTAGCAAAATAACCAGCTAACATCATACTGACAGGACCAAATTCACACATAACAATATTAACTTTAAATGTAAATGGGCTAAATGCTCTAATTATAAGACACAGACTGGCAAATTGGATAAGGAGTCAAGACCCATCAACCCATCTCACGTCCAGAGACACACATAGGTTAAAAATAAAGGGATGGAGGAAGATTTACCAAGCAAATGGAAAACAAAAAAAGGCAGCGGTTACAATCCTAGTCTCTGATAAAACAAACTTTAAACCAACAAAGATCAAAAGAGACAACGAAGGCCATTACATAATGGTAAAGGGATCAAATCAACAAGAAGAGCTAACTATCCTAAATATATATGCACCTAATACAGGAGCACCCAGATTCATAAAGCAAGTCCTTAGAGATCTACAAAGAGACTTAGACTCCCACACAATAATAACGGGAGACATTAACATCCCGCTATCAACATTAGACAGATCAACGAAACAGAAAGTTAACAAGGATACCCAGGAATTAAACTCAGCTCTGCACCAAGTGGACCTAATAGACATCTACAGAACTCTCCACCCCAAATCAATAGAATATACATTTTTTTCAGCACCACACCACACCTATTCCAAAGTTGACCACATACTTGGAAGTAAAGCACTCCTCAGCAAATGTGAAAGAATAGAAATTATAACAAACTGTCTCTCAGACCACAGTGCAATCAAACTAGAACTCAGGATTAAGAATCTCACTCAAAACCACTCAATTACATGGAAGCTGAACAACCTGTTCCTGAATGACTACTGGGTACATAACGAAATGAAGGCAGAAATAAAGATGTTCTTTGAAACCAGTGAGAACAAAGACACAACATACCAGAATCTCTGGGACGCATTCAAAGCAGTGTGTAGAGGGAAATTTATAGCACTAAATGCCCACAAGAGAAAGCAGGAAAGATCCAAAATTTACACCCTAACGTCACAATTAAAAGAACTAGAAAAGCAAGAGCAAACACATTCAAAAGCTAGCAGAAGGCAAGAAATAATTAAAATCAGAGCAGAACTGAAGGAAATAGAGACACAAAAAACCCTTCAAAAACTTAATGAATCCATCTCCCACCAGTTAGAATGGCAATCATTAAAAAGTCAGAAAACAACAGGTGCTGGAGAGGATGTGGAGAAATAGGAACACTTTTACACTGTTGGTGGGACTGTAAACTAGTTCAACCATTGTGGAAGTCAGTGTGGTGATTCCTCGGGGATCCAGAACTAGAAATACCATTTGACCCAGCCATCCCATTCCTGGGTATATACCCAAAGGATTATAAATCATGTTGCTATAAAGACACATGCACACATATGTTTATTGAGGCATTATTCACAATAACAAAGACTTGGAATCAACCCAAATGTCCAACAATGATAGACTGGATTAAGAAAATGTGGCACATATACACCATGGAATACTATGCAGCCATCAAAAATGATGAGTTCATGTCCTTTGTAGGGACATGGATGAAATTGGAAATCATCACTCTCAGTAAACTATCGCAAGAACAAAAAACCAAACACCGCATATTCTCACTCATAGGTGGGAATTGAACAATGAGATCACATGGACACAGGAAGGGGAACATCACACTCTGGGGACTGTTGTGGGGTGGGGGGAGGGGGGAGGGATAGCATTGGGAGATATACCTAATGCTAAATGACGAGTTAGTGGGTGCAGTGCACCAGCATGGCACATGTATACATATGTAACTAACCTGCACAATGTGCACATGTACCCTAAAACTTAAAGTATAATAATACAGATGATACACTAGATAACTAAGTATATTAAGTAAAATATAGTTATCAGTGGCTCCACAGTCTATCTAGATACTTAAAGGAATTATGTGATGGATTAAGCTAAGCCTTTTGACAATTGTTTTCTTAAGTCTTGTGGTATTAGGAGAAAACATAGTTGAGATTTAAAAATTCTCTTACTTCAATATAAAACTAAGGGAAGGCAGATGCACAGATAAAAATTGGAGCGTGTATGCACAGTGCAAGAGAAAACAGGGCTAATAGAAACAGGATACTGAATTTTAAAATTGGTCATCAATTTTTAATCCCAACTCCTTGGGAGGCTAAGGCAGGAGGATCCCTTGAACATAGGAGTTGTAGGTAAGCCTGGGCAACACAGCAAGATGCCATCTCAAGAAAAGAGTAGTCATCTGTTTTTAATTTTATTACAATTTCATGAGATGCTATCATACTCATTAAGTGAAGAATGTTGACTGCTGTTCCAGGAAGATATTTATTTACTCTTATGTGTAACAATACAACAATCCTAGAGATGTTATAATAGATGTAAGAGTTGATGCTACAAATTTTGGGGTCTAACCCAGTGCTTCTGAAACTTGAATATGCAAACATACCAAACACGGAATCTTGCTAAATTCAGATTCTGTTTCAGTAGGTCTGGAAAGGAATTTAGATTCTGCATTTCTAACCAACTCCCAAGTGGAGTCAATGCTGCTGACTGATGCATGCCACTTTGAGTCAGAAGGTACAGAGGAATTGTGCCTGGGCTGACTCACAGACAAGTTGTACTTGGTTCTTTCTCACAGTGAATGGCTTTGGAGCTGACTTCACTTTATCTGCTAGTATCCTTTGAATTTGCATTGTTTCTTATAGATGAAGATGGCCAATAATTTGGCCAATAACTGGGCATGTTTCCAGTAGATGTGATGGATTTGCTGTGGTCTGTTCCTGCTCATTATGCAGGCTTTTTTTTATGGCCAAGAGGAAACACTTTGAGTGTTGGGGAACATCCTGTGGCCATAAGATAAAATAAAATCAGTGGTCCTGTGTAAAATTTGTGATCATGGCCTCATTAGCACTGTGCTTAAATCTATTCTTTATTGAGTTTTGTCAATCAGTCCAATTTTATTGTCTAATGAGGCCAAAGGTCAGACCAATGATCTTTATCTTGTTTCATGACTGCAGATAGCATGCCAAAACAGAGCTGTCTACTTCAGAAGTATGGTCTATGGTTGTTTGAAGAGGAAGTGTGTTTAATGAATAGAAAAACAAATACTGATACTGATAAAAGCTACCCCCACACACACACCTCAAAAGCCATTAACAAATTACTCTGATTGGATTAAACAACTAATCTTCAATATTATGTATTTACTTTAGTGAATTTTTGCTTCTGAAGGCAATTTTTTTCTGAACTCATCATCAAATTCTGGGATGCCATAGTTTTTCTTCTATGGACCAGGCACATCATTTAAATTAAAAAGCACATAAGTTGACTCTGACAAAAAGAATGTGATGGTAGTGACATTTAACACATCAATCCCCTTACAAAAACCAGTCAAATCAACTAGATTAGTGTTTTAGTCCATTCTCACACTACTATACAAAAACTACCTGAGACTGGGTAATTTATGAAGAAAAGAGTTTTAATTGACTCACAGTTCCACAGGCTGTACAGGAAGCATGGCTGGGAAGCCTTAGGAAACTTACAGTCATGGCAGAAGGTGGAGGGGAAGCAGGCACGTCTTCATACAGCCAGAGCAGGAGGAAGAGAGCTGTGGGGAAAGTGCTACACACTTTTAAATGGTCAGATCTCATGAAAACTCACTCAATATCATGAGAACAGCAAGGGGGAAGTTCACCCCCATATCCAATCACCTCCAACCAGGCCCCTCTTCCAACATTGAGGATAGCAATTCGATCTGAGATTTGGGTGGCGTTACAGAGCCAAACCATATCAGTTAATATAAACAAAGCTCATGCATGATGTGTTCAACAAAGCTTGATGACCAGAATTGCCACATACGTCAGAATACAGAAGGATGTAGCAAACACTCAACACAGGAGGCTAGGAAAATAAAAAAGAACCAGAGAAACATAAAATTATTCACAGACTCTAAACTGCAGATGAGAGGGCAAAGCTACAAGAATCACATGGAGTGGGAAGCAGCCTAAGCCTTAAAAATCTCAAAGCATTCAATAAAATCTTGGTTTTAGAAGGATACAGAAGAAACTGAAGAAAAGACTATTAAGAACAGAATCTAAATTGAGCAAACTGCTGGGGAAGGGACTAGCAGAGAAAGACCTCTGAATATACCATAACCACAAAATATAATTTTTGAAGGTAAGAGCACCCTGCAGAAGGCCACAAAGCTCTGAATGTTTCAGAGGTAGAGGCAGGACAACTTTCTGAATCAAGCTTAGCCTCAAAAACCAAAAAGAAACTATATTTCTGAATAGATCAGGGTAACAACAGAGGAAGGAGCTCTTGAGCCATGAATTTGTAAAAGCAACTTTGGCTTTTCTCTGCTCTTCATGTAGAAATATTATCTGAATAATTAAAAGAAACTCAACTTCATTTAAACACAGAAAAAAAATTTATAATCCAATTCCACATAAATAAATTGTAAGACAATATATAAATAAACCAAATAATGTCCCAACAAATAATGAAAACACACCCAATAACCATAGCGATGAAGAAGACAAAATCGATACTTTCAGATTTTTAGATATTCTAGAAAATGTTTTAAATGGTCAAAGCTTTGTGAGAAAAGCATAAATCAGTAATAGAACAGCTCTGAAGAGAGGTAACTAAGCAATAATAGAATCTGTAAAGAGAATGGAAAGGAATTAGTAATGAACTAGATAAATGTAAAAGAAAGACATTTTAGAAATGAACTTTAAAATAGAAGAAACACAAGAAAAAATAGTTGCACACAAGAAAAAGTGTAGTACAGGAATTAAGGTACAGAATAGAGGAATGCACATTTAATGAACAACAATGAGAACAATAACAACAACAAAGTAAGGTAAAAATGTTTCAAGAGAAAGTTATAAATATAGAAGATAGAGCAATACATTGGTAATTTCAATAAATACAAATTGATTAACTCACTTCTTAAAAAGAGAATGTTAGTTTGGCTAACAAAGCAATATTCAATTTTATTGCTGCAGCAAGAAACATAAATAAAAGATTATTAAATTTTAAAAACAAAAGGGATGGCTAGAGGTATACATCAAAATGAATAATAGCTGCAAGCTATTTTAAATATGTTGAATATATTTTAAAGTCACAAATAATGATAATAAAACAAAACAATAAAAAAAACAGAGATAAAAGACATTGTAACTCATGGAAAGTTGCCAGAGCACCCACTTATTATCCTGAAAATAGATCATTAACAAAAGAAATAGCATTTATCCTACCCTTACAATGTAACCTGTATTTCAGGATAATTAAATACACTTAGTAGATACATTTTTCAATGCCTAAACTCTCCAGCTAATTGCCACAAAAAGAATAATGAAATTATAAAAAATAACAATTTTGTGATTACTAATATGGTTTGGCTCAGTGTCCCCACCCAAATGTCAATTGTAATCCCCACGTTCAAGGGAGGGACCTGGTGGGAGGTGATTGGAAACTGGGGGCAGTTTCCCCCATGCTGGTCTCATGACAGTGAGTGAATTATCACAAGAGCTGATGGTTTGAAGAGTGTACAGCAGTTCCCCCTTTGCTCTCTCTCCTGCTGCCCTGTGAAGAGGATGCCTACTTTCCCTTCACCTTCTGCCATGATTGTAAGTTTCCTGAGGCCTCCCCAGCCATGTAGAACTGTGAGTCAGTTAAACCTGTTCTGTTTATAAATTATACAGTTTCAGGTAATATCTTCATAGCAGTGTGAAAACAAGCTAATATAATTACTAATAAAATAAATGATTCAGACTATGATCATTAATAGATAATAAGTCTACTAGTGAAAGTTGATGGGGAACTTTTCAGTGAAGAGATCATGTTGTCACCATGGATCAACTTTGTTATCACTAAGAGTGAGGTTCTTAGACATCATGCGCTTTTTATATAATGATGCAACAGGAAAAACACAGAATGACCCTTGAAGTATTCTTCTCTTTCTCTTGCACACACACCCATGTACACCCAAAAAACCTGAATCTGATCAAATCTTTAGATCTAATTTGCAGTCTATTGAAAATATAGGGGATAGAGGCACAAGTTAAATTATATCGACAGGAAACAATCAGTCAAATCCAGAATGAAGATACTTTGTAGGAAAAACTGAACCGTTTCTCCAATGGCATTAAGAAAAGGTGAGAGTAGATCACAAGTAATTTTAGAAAGACAAGTGTAGGTGAGCATATTTACCAGTTGGCTGGGACAGTCATGGTTTACTCTTGTTACCACAATGTGATTGTTATTTATTCTCCCTTTTAGCTCAGAGGCATTTAGGGTAGGGCTACAGATTATATGACCACTTTACTTAAAAGACATAGAACCAAATATATTGAGAAGACTTTATTTGGATCTGATCCTCACAAGCCAAAACAACAAACAAACTAAAATCCATGATGTTTCAGTTTATACTCACACACACATTTTTTAACAACTGAGATAATTTGAATATGAATTGCATTTACGTCATGTTATGCAATTTCTGTTAGAGAATTCTGTGTGACAATAGAATTGCAGTAATATAAGAATGTGTTTTTTACTCTAAAGCTTATCTCAGTATCTTGGTAGCTGGGATTTGCAATAAAATATTTAAGCAAAAAAGGAGAGAGTGCATCCAGTATGGAAACAAATATGACAAACGTTAATAGTTATGGAAACTGAGAGATGGGTACATAATATTCATTTTCTCTCTGATTTGGTGTATGTTTGCAAATTTACAAAATGGAAAGTTAAAATAATTGATTTTATAAAAGAAGAATTGTAGTAACTGATCAAACTTGAGATCAGCTTATTATGGACATAAATTGTCAATGTTTATGCATCTAATAACAGAGCTTCAAAAGAGAAGAAAGAACAGACAGAATTGCAAAGGGTAATTTAAAAACACAATATTAGTCAGTGATTTCCAAACCAAACCCTCTAAAAATTGATAGAACCTGTAGTCATAAATTAGTAAGGATATAGAAGATTTGAACTACACTATTAACCAGCTTAACATTTATAAAATACTCAAACCAATAAAAGCAGAATAAACATTCTTTTCAAGTGCACATAGAACACTTGCAAAGATAGACCACATTTTGCACTATTTAACAAGTGTCAATTCATTTAAATAATTTAAGTCATACATAATAAATTTTCAAAGCAACTAAATTAGAAATACATAACAGGAAGTTCTCTAGGAAATTACCCCAAATATTTGGAAATGACATAATGCATTATATATAATCCATGGGTCAAAGAAATCAAATAAAATTTAGAAAGTGTTTTGGACTATTCAGTTCAAATGAGAATACTGCCTATCAAAATTTGTGCCATGTTTCCAAAAAAGTATTTGGGGAACATTTATAGCACTAAATACTTGTACTGGAAAGGAAGAAAAGCTTCAAGACAAAGACCTCAGCTTCTACCTAAAAAAATTGGAAAATAAGAAAGAAATATGCAGAAATATCTCTGAAATGTGAGGAAGGGAAATGATAAAGATTAGAGTCTGGAAATTAATGAAATAGAAAAGAGAAAAAACATAGACAATAAATGGAACCAATAGCTGGTTATTTGATAATATTAAGAAAGGATAAACTTTTAGCCAGATATTATTATTATTATTATTATTATTATTATTATACTTTAAGTTTTAGGGTACATGTGCACAATGTGCAGGTTAGTTACATATGTATACATGTGCCATGCTGGTGTGCTGCACCCGTTAACTAGACTTATTAAGAAAAAAAGAAGTTACAAATTGCCAATTGCAGGAATGAGAGAAATTATATTACCACAGATTCTATATATTTAGGAAGAAATACCTAATATAAATAACCCTATATCTATTTTGAAATGTTCATTTTTACTAAATACCTTCATTAAAGGTATAACAAAGAGGTATTATGGAAAACTTTATGATAATAAATGCAAAAATTCAGATGAAACGGGCAAATTCTTTGAAGAGAAAAAAAACCCACCAAAGCTCATTTAAGAAGAAATACCTAATATGAATAACCCTGTATCTATTTATAAATGTTCATTTTTACTAAAAACCTTCCTACAGAGAAAATGCAAGGTTCAGATGCCTTCCCTAGTGGATTCTACCAAACATTTAGGGAAGAAATAATATCAAATCTATATACACTATTTTACATACTTTAAAAGAGGGAATACTTCAGACTCATTCTATGGAGCCAGCATTACCTTGGTTCCAAAACCAAACACCACATAAGACAATTACTGACCAATATCCCTTATAAACATAGGGCAAACATGCTGAATAAATTTTTTCCAATTGAATTCAATAGTACAGGACCAAATGGACTTTATTCCAGGAATAAAAATGTTGGTTGATTTGAAAATCAATCAGTGCAATTCATCACATTAACAAAGTTAGGAAAAATAAATGATAAATTCAATATCTATTCCTGTTAAAAACTCTCAGCAAGGTAGGTATATAGAAGGAATAT
This sequence comes from Homo sapiens, assembly GCF_000001405.40. Lineage (NCBI taxonomy): Eukaryota > Metazoa > Chordata > Mammalia > Primates > Hominidae > Homo > Homo sapiens. Next base: position 61,153,186 of record NC_000006.12, on the reverse strand, counting down.
TATTTTCCTATGGCTGCTATAACAAATCACCACAAATTGGGTGGCAAAGAACAATAGAAATTTATTATTTCACAAGTCTGAAGGTCAAAAATACAAAATCAAGTTGTCAGCAGATCCACACTCCCCAGAGGTTCTTAGGAAAATTATTCTCTGCCTCTTCCACGTTTGGGTGACACTTGCCATTCCTTGGCTTTTTTGGCTTGTGGTCAAATCACTCGAATATCTGCCTCCGTCTTCACAGCACCTTCTCCTCTGTGTGTCTGCATCTTCTCCTCTTCTGTCTCATATAGACACTTGTCATTGAATTTAGGGCCCACCTGGGTAATCCATAATGCTGTCATTTCAAGATATTTAACCTAATTACATCATAATTACTTTTTTTTTTTCAAATAAGTTAACACCCAGAACAAAAGGAAGTTCCACATCCTTACAAAGGGCATCTACAGAAAAGCTACAGCTAGTATCATACTTACGTGAAAGACTGAATGCTTTTCCCCTAAGAACTAGAACAAAACAAGGATATCCACTCCCACCACTTCTATTCAACATTGTACTGAAGGTTCTGGCCAGTGTAGTAAGGCAAGAAAAAGAAACAAAAAGCATCCAGTTTGGAAAACAAATAAGTAAAGCCATTTTTAGTCAAAGATTAAATGGTCATTTATACAAAAAATGATGGAATCTACCAGAAAACTATTAGAACTAATGAATGAGTTTACATTGGTTATAGTATATAAGATCAGTATACAAAAAACAACTGTTTTTCTATCTACTAGCAACAAACAATTAGAAAATGAAATTGCACAAAATAATCTCACCACAGTTTCATTTGTGACCAGAATTATTATTAGTTGTTGTTGTAATAGTACTCTAAATGACACTTTTGAAACAGCAGCAAAATAGAAAGAGTGTCAGTCAACTGTGTAATAGTATTATATCAATATTGATTTTCTGATTTTGCTAACTGGACTGTGGTTATGTAAAAGACTGATCTTTGTTTTAGGAAATATTTGTTGAAATATTAGGTGCTAAGGGCCATCTCAAATCATTATGAAAATGCATAAAATGTACATATTTGAGAGAAAGAAAGAGAAATAACAAAGTAAATGATAATAAGGAGACAATTATGGAATTTGGATGAAAGGTATACAAGATCTCTTCACAATATTCTTAATCTTTTCTGTAAGTAAGCCTGACATTACTTCAAAGAAAAATATTATAAAACAGAATGTGAGGAAAGGAATTGAAAATGATGCACCTAAGTCACTCGAGGAATTTTCCTGCAAATGTAGCCATAGTTGATTGGACAGATAGGGTCAGGAGGTATGAAACTTCACTATAATGCCAGGCACAGAGAGATGCTCAAGCTGAGAGACATTAGGGCAGGAAGATAAAACTCAAAGAAAGCCTTATCCTGATCACTCTGTGGCCAGAAGACGGGTCAGCAATGCTATTCTTTTTCTTTTTTGATTCTCTCTTTTCTCTGATTCAAACAGCTGGGTTTGTGTAAGTTAAGTGTCTCCATTATACACTTAACATTTTATTTATCAATTCTTATACTCAGGATCAGAATTTGCAATGTACAGCTATATGACTTAAAATGCCAAACATCACAAAGTGTAATAGGATAACTTTTGTTTTTTACAAAGTCTTCATAGATCTCTAAACTGGAATGAGGCAATTACCATCAAGCTTTATCATAACAGCATCTATAGAAACAGAAAGAGGGGAGAGACACAATTGCTTTTTCAGAACTAACTAAATCATTTATGAGGATGTTTCCCCACCTACTGTACTGTCCTCCAAGAAGAGTAGAATAAATGAATGTGGAATAATAGTTCTTTTGTAAAGGATCCCGATACTTCATCAGGCTGCAAGATGCTGCTTTAATGCTCTCAGACCATTCTGGGGAACATGGCACATGAGGTCTTGTCTCTTGTATTCTTTCCCACTGCTGTGCAAGGAGGTTAATCAGACAGGCTAGGGAAAGGGTGGTGGGAATACTTGCTCTGTGAAGGCTGCAGTCAATATTCCAAGTTAAGTTATATATTGGAGAGAAAAATACTCATTATATGGCAGTTTTCTTAGACTTATGTCAGATTATTGCCTTTCAGTTATCAACATACATTTATCTTTGGCACCTTACAATATTATTACTAGGTGGCATATATTTCAAGTGTCTCCTCTCTTCTTAATAAGATTCTGAAGAAACTGTGGTTCTTTCAACAACACATAAACAAACCTTTCCTTTCTTGTTTTGTTTTGTCTTTTTCCTGCAGTGGATGAGTCTCTTTTATTAGTTTTTTTTCCTATTTCAACATTAGAAGATGAATGAAGTCTAGGAATACTTTACTATATTTCAGTATCCGTAGGGCCCAAAATTCAAGTTTAGACTTCTGTAAATGATATTTAAAGTATCATTAACACGGTATAATGAAAAGAACACTTTGTTGTCAGGAGTGTGTGTTTAGGTGGGTGAGAGGATAGCAGGGGAAGAGAGGGTGGGGAAGAGAAATAATCCCAACATGGCCATCCATTGACGCTTGGGGATCAAAGCAAAGATAGAAATCAATCATAGAGTTAAAATCAGGGTTTACTAAGGTAATAGATGTGAAAATGATTCTAGACATTAAAAAATGTTATGTAAATATTTGATATCTTTATTGCAAAAAAGGAAAAAAACATCTAGCCATAAGCAGTTTTGAGATAGTGATAATACATTTTAAGGTGTATTTTTGATCTTTGCAAGCTGTTTATTTCATAAAATTGAACTAAGCTGCCTATTTGGTTAATGTTTATTGATAAATTCAGATCTACTAAAAGGCATGAAGAAGCCAGGCATGGTGGCTCATGCCTATAATCCCAGCACCTTAGGAGGTGAAGGTAGGTGCATAGCTTGAGCCCAGGAGTTGAAGACCAGCCTAGGCAACATGGTGAAACCCCATCTCTACAAAATATACAAAACTTAGCCAGGCATGATAGTGTGTGCCTGTGGTCGCAGCTACTTGAGAGGCTGAAGTGAGCAGATCTCTTGAGCCTGGGAGGCAGAAGTTGCAGTAAGCCAAGGTCTGGCCACTGCACTCAAGCCTGGGAGACAGAGCGATGAGACTCTCATCTCAAATGCTTGTGGTATGTATGTGCGTGTGTGTGTGTGTGTGTGTGTATAATTTAGGGGAATAATACTTAAAGAATATCAATTTTAAAAGCCTATATAGGTAGAAAAGATGATCTAGATAGGGCTGTCTGATTAAAAATAAATTGGGATGGTAATACACAGCCAGTATGAGATTAATTCAATTTTTACATTCAAAATAAGGTAATACTATTTTCTATGCTTTTCTAGACAGAACATCTTTGTAAATGGTAGTCTTTTGACTATTTTAATAACAGCCAGCAGCAAAGGAATTTTGAGAATATCAAGTAAGTAAACTAAAAACAAGAAAGTTTGACTTCCAGTAGAAGCAAAGAACAAAAATTATTCATTTTACAAAGGCTGGCCAAATTGGAATGGCCTTAGACAAGAATCTGTAGGATCTTAAGGAGAAGGAAAAATTGTTTAGAATGTAGTAATGGAATGCAATTAAGGAAAAGAAAATGTAGGCTGAATATCAGAAACAATTTCTTAATAGTCTGTTAGACTGTACATTAGTTTCCCACAGGAAGAAATGGAAGCCTCATTGCCTAAGTCATTTAGAGCTAGTCTGATTCCCGGAGGGTGTGGCAACTCAGAAGGAAATGAAAAATGTAGAGACTGAAAGTCAGTCTAAGTTAATTTTATAGCACCGTGCACTGCTGCCGTAGGTATTGAAAGGGGTGTAAAACCACTGTAATAGACATATTCTATCACTTTAAAATGAATGGTTCACATAGCCACGTACCAGCAGCAGCATCAGATTATGCTGTCAGGTATACCCAGGACTGCCCCTGGCTGAGTGCTAGGACAACACAACAACAGATGTTATTAGAATGTGAAAAGAATGTTAACATGGCTGCAACTTCTGTCACACAGAAAGACATGGGGCTGATTTAGACCATCTAGCTGCCTAAGTATATACTTGCTTCTCCCCTCTTTGCCTCATGTGTCTCCCCCAAAGCTACTGAAGAGCATGGACTTTGTAAAATAGGCTGTTCCAAGACTAAACTTCTAACCTGAAAGTACTTTGGGGATCAACTTGTACTCTTCATTTAACCACATTAATGAGAGGGATCTTCTTGTTTTAGATTGTATGGAACATTTCTTTTAAATGTCTTTTAGTCTTTTCTAATTCCTCCATCTTTCTTCTCCTTACCACGAAGGTGAGATTCTACAGTATAGAAGCACACTTATTTCCCCATGCCAGAAAGAACTTTCCAGATACTTCAGGATCCAGCTAGCATTAATATAAAACAGAATCCAAGATTAATGTAAGACATTGTTATGACTCACAAAGAAAGAAAAAAATGCTGCCTGTAAAACTGTCGCAATACTTTTTCTTAGAAATGTATCTTACGATTATTGGAATAGCTTTTTAAAGACTTTTTATTGTAGATGATTTACCATCATCAAATTTGTGTATATTTTTAAATTGGTGAAATAAATTTCTTAATATATTCCTAAACAATTCCACATTTAGACTGCAACTTTTCTGCATCCTTTCAAATCCAGGGGTTTCAATACTTATCTGTGTTTTATCACTAAAAATGGTCCTCTGTGCCATAAAGAGCATTAGTGATGAAGCCAGAATTTCTTTTAAAAGTGCTCCACTATAGTCTCTGGGATTTTCTCACAAGCTGCTGACACCTGTTCTGCAAAATTTGCTGCTGGCGCTTTCTTGCTTGGCATGTAATAGTCAATAGAAGCAAAAGATAACACATCTTTTTCTCCCTGTGGAGTCTTTCTTTCTTAACTCCAACAAATAACTTTATTTTTGATTTCCAAGAAAATTTTAAAATTTCTTTCATTGCTTTTAGGATAGATATTTGTTTCTGGACTATCAAATATATGTCCCACTGCATGTTTCTGTTTCTTTCTGTACATACAATAATTTTTCATTTTAGTACAGAATCATAATATAATTTTTGAAGACATTTTTAAAGGCAATTAAGCATAATGCCTGTAGTACAAGCATAATTCATTTAAAATGGCAACATGAACAACTATGACCAAATTTGCTTATGTGCAGAAAGTGATGTCTATGTCATAACTGCCACCTGGTTGACAATGACAGGAGGATGTGGAAACTGTATTTTCCAGAAATATCTTTAATCCCTTCTTCTTTTAACATTTTCCCCAGGCCTTATTCACCCCAGCTGGAAAATTTTATTGGTCCTTGAGTTAAAGCTAAGTTATTGAGAAATAACCACTAGTGTCTTTCTTTAAAAAAACTACAGGACTCTTAAAAAAAAAAGTCACTCATGGCAAACATCCTGTTTGAAGAAAACACACAAGTTAGAGTGCTTGAAACTTTGCTTGCCATTTTAAGCATTTTTGTTGCTTGTTATCAGAAGGGCTGTGTTCCCCTCAATACGCTATAAAACTACTTCCTTGTAAAAGGTATTTGAAGAATTTTTGCAAAGGCATTCTTCCTTGCTGTACTCAGTCAATGAGGAGCAAATTTTCATTCCTTCAGATCTCCTCATTGATTTCAATAAATATTATTAATTTTAATATGAATTATTATTCTTCATGGGCTAAACTATGGGGAAAGATGTATCTTAAAATTGATATAATAAAGCATCTGTCATTATATGGCCTTTCTTTCCTATTCATTTCTACTCCAGCTAAAGTCAGGTACCATGTGTGTACTGGGATTCTACTGCCAGTGAATGTTATTTGGATACCACTTCCTTCCTATGAATGATCCCTAGTTACCGCAGGATTAGTGCACATAGTGTGTGTGCGAATACCATATCCACTATTGTTCAAAGTATCTTTAGCAGCTACTAATATTACCAGGGAATATGTATATGCTTAACCTTATAAATTCATGCACCCATTTTCCAGTGAACAAAAGTATATTGAGTACCAACCATGCACTGAATTTAGTCCTCAGAATGAGAAATAACAATGAACAAAACAGGCATGATTTCTGAGCTTTCCACATCTACAGACTTGTTCTATACAAAGTCTTTATGGAATGATGAGGAGCTGTTAGGTAATTCAGATAGCTCCAGATACCCAAGATATGCCCCTGAAATTACTAAGAAAGTGGACCTGAAATTATTCCCAAACAAAAGCATAGGAATAACTGTGATCTGCATCATGGGCACTTTGGAATTGTGTGTATGCACATGTGTATGTGCATGTGTGTGTGTGTACTCATGTCAAAGGATATAGAACACACCCAGAATTCTGGTTGAAAGGCAGAAGACCCAAAGCCTTCTGAAAGAAAGCACTGGAAATGGTGTATTTTTATGTGGGGGCTTCTCAAAATATCATGCAAAGCCTCTTCGTGAAGTTAAAGGGCCAAAAATTGAGGTCATTAGAATCATTTTGCTAATCTCTGTACACTTTAAATAAATTAAATGTTAATAATAATATGTTTTATAGTTTCAGTAGCTAGAGGAGAATATTGAACATCTTCAACACAAACAAATGATAAATAGTTGAGATGATGGATATGCTCGTTACCCTGCTCCAATCATTCTACATTATATATATCACAGTATCATATGTTCCCCATAAATATGTGCAATCATTATGTATCAATTTAAAACTTTTTTAAATTAAAATTAAAAAACTAAATGCAAAACAAAACTATATGGGGGATGTGCATAATTTCTATGCAAAAAAAGAGATAAAAGAAAGAAATTAAATGGAGAGAAAAAAGTACCTATTTAAATTTGCCAGGAAAGTGCTTTTAAGAGACCAAACAATCCCCTTCAAAGCATTCTAAGTTTCAAAAGGGCAAGAAAATTGTTAGTTGAATGTTTAATTAACATTTATTGCAAGCATATTAGTTTTACATGACTCACATTTAGTAATACAGTAGGGTTGTGTTCTTGCTACCATATGTGCACTTTATAGCATATTCAGTCCCCATATATAATCAACACATATGATTCATTTATGCCCATTTTGTAACACTTGGAATATAATTTCCCTATTTCAAATGATTATAAGGGTTTATAGTTCTATCAGTGCTTTCACTGAATTCAGCAACAATTTATTGAGGAAACTAAGTGTAAAGTACTTCGCAAATGATGCTGTGAGAGGCATAAAGATGAAATAGGTGTGCTTTCTATGCTTAAAGAATTTGGAATCTGAAGGGGAGAGTGGGTACGATTATGCATCTGTATGTGTCTTGTGCTGTGCTGGGCAAACAGATAACAAAAAAGAGTATGGGTGGTTGCTACTTTTCAGCAGTTTAACTTTAGTCGGGCATTGGAAATAAATACAAGGGTGTTGAAAAGTTCAGAGGCTAAAGAGATCAGGCAAATTTGCAGAAATGGAAGTGTGTTCGATATGTATTAAGAATAGAATGCAAAAGTTGAGGGAAATGACTAGAAATTAAATCACAGGAGTAGGCAAGGATCTGACAGCTATAGACATCACACGTTATGAAATTTGGAAAAGAATTATGGATAGTCATGGTGAGTTTTAAACTGGGGGATGACACGGGTACCCTTTTGTTGTAGAATTATTATTCTGGTAGGGGTAGAGGGGATAGAGAGACAGACTGAGGAAGATTATGCCACATTTCTTAATCTAATGCATAGAAGAGGTGGGGGGAATGGAGAGGTTAGGATTACGAATTCCTACTAATAGTTCCTCAATTCTATATTTTTCTGGTACACCCCTCTCTAAATCCCCAACCCAGATAACATTATCATTGCTTCTATATGTATGTCTGCTCCATTATTCCCTCATTATAACAAAATTATCCTTTCCATGTTTCATATTTTCCAGTCCAAATCATAGAGGAAGCTGCTCTAACTGATTTAATTAATGTCTTGGTAGCAGCTCTAGAGCCCTACATCCAACTGCTTATTATTGCCTGGATATTTCAAAGGCTTCCCAGGATTTAAAATAGTTAAATACTAATTCATAATTTTGGGCAATTACAAAGTTCCAGCCAATGTGCAAAGCAATTGCTATTCACCGTATCATTAAGAGATCATGTTGAATTTGGAAAGGACCTAGGTATAATGAGGCTCTTTAGTCCTGTCTTGCTTCCTGCAGCTATGCTGTCCTAATTCCAGGGCTAGTATATCATTATCATAAACCATAAGCTCCTTTCGCTGAAGTTGGTGTGATGTTTAATTTTATGTGTCAACGGAAGGCATTAGTACCCAGTAACTTAATCAAATACTAATCTAGGTGTTGCTGTGAAGCTATTTTGTAGATGTGGTTAACATATACAGTCAGTTGACTTTAAGTAAAGCAGATTAATCTTGATAATTTCTTTGGGCCTCATCCAACCAGTTGAAGTCCTTAAGAGCAAAAACTTAACTTTCCTGAAAAAGAAAAAATTATGTATCAAGATTTTAAGGTGGATATCCTGCTCATGTTTCCAGCCTGCCAGCCTGCCCTACAAACTTCAAACTCAAGACAGCAAGAAAAATTCATACCTGTGTTTTCAGCCTGCTGATCTGCCCTACAGATTTTGAATTTACCAGCTCAGTGCCCACAATTACATGAGCCAGTTTCTTTGAATAAATCAATATATTTGAGATATATGTGTGTATATATGTATAGACATGTATGTGTATGTATATGTGTATATATATATGTGTGTGAAACGTATGTATGTGTATAAAAAATGATTGCTCTATATACACTTATTGCTATTTGTTCTGTTTCCTTTAGGAACCCTGACTGATAGAGTTGGCTTAGCCACCTGACCTAAGGATTCTTTCCCTAAGGAGAAGAGTGGGGAGGAAAAATAGGGAAGATATTGCATCTATTCCAAGCAAAGTGTGGCATGGGACCCAAAGATCGAAAATGTTTGGAATTAACTTATCCTGACAGTGGTTCCTATTCTTTTCAATTTCTGGATCTACTCGTCTCTTTTATTATGTAGCCTATCTCATATTCTTCCATTGGATCTAAATTTCCATGAGAAATAAAAATCAATTTTTACGTGCTAATTACACCATATATTTTCATGAGATATGTGTAACAGTTGTCTTTAGTTAAATGTATAGTAAACTTATTTTAGATATATTTAGATACTAATGTAGAAAACAAGTACCTTTTTATCTCTTTCACATTTATACACTATTTACATCTAAATGAAAGATATTAAGTGTTCCAATTTCCATAGGTGCCTTTTTTTTTAAGATGGAGTCTCACTCTGTTGCCCAGTCTGGAGTGCAGTGGTGCCATCTCGGCTAACTGCAACCTCTGCCTCCCAGGTTCAAGCAATTCTCCTGCCTCAGCCTCCTGAGTAGCTGGGACTACAGGTGTCTGCCACCAGGCCCAGCTAATTTTTGTATTTTTAGTAGAGATGGGGTTTCACCATGTTGGCCAGGATGGTCTCCATTGGTGACTTTTTTATTAGTGTTTTATTTGCAGGGTAAAATGTTCACAACCATTCCTAAATATAAAACACAGAGGCACTATTTTTTCTCCCCATGACTTCCATCTTAATGCTACATTCAAAAGCAGGAAAAACTTTTTATATACATTGAAACCCTGTGGGTAATGATCCTAAAAAAATGTTAGCCATTCTCTCTAGTGCCACCCCAGGGAAGGAGTGGTGAAAGTAGGGGAAAAATTGATTATATAGATATTCTATAGATTAATACTGCTACAATAAAAGCTAACAACAGGAAGATAACATTTAAATTATTAAATTAGTTCAATGGAGGCCAATCAAGTGTCTCATATGCTATTCAAAGGCAACATAACTGCTGCTCTTCATAAATGTTTCAGAATGGTTTATCACTATCAGTAGAGTTGCAGATTTAAGCAGCATGTTTCTGTGGCAAGAGGCACAAAGGAGAATCATGCATTTTTGAATGCTAATCCTGGATGTTTCATGTGCTTTGGACACTGATTCCATATCCATTTAAAAAATTATGATGGTAAATGACATTTTTAAAGCTTTAAAAAACACAGTGATAAGTAGAATATTGAAAAGTAGAAATGAAGAAATAGGAACTCCTAAAATTGGAAGGTGATATAAGGCACAACACTGAACCCCACTCTGCCCCTACTCACAACTTTTTGGAAATAATAATTCTTTTGATAACTTAAGTATATATCTGCATGTGTTGGACTAGAGCAGAACTTTGTAAAGTCACTTCAAAGAAAAAAAAATAGCCTGTAGTTAAGATCTCCAGTTGAGAAGAGTTGACTGTTAACATTCAAAAGTTATTAAAAATTTTAAAATAAACCGATTACAATCCAAAGAGGTTTAGCTTCTCTTTCTATTTTGTTTCTTGATCTGAATACTATTTTTAAAAGTTCCTTAGGCTAAAATGTCATCAAAGGTGGCTTCGTTGTCATAAGATCTGGTGGTCGCACTGAGTCCTGTGCTCGGAAGAGCCCCACACTTGATTTATTGCTCTGCTGAGAATGTCTTCAAATTCTTAATAATTTTATGTTTGAATTTGTGTTTTGCAAGTGAAGTCTGGTGGGATAATGGAGTATGTGTGCAGGCAGGGGAGACACATATATGGAAAATGTGTTCCTGCCATTCCTTGCTTCTTCATTCCCATAGAGTATTCATTATGCCCATGTGAGCACAGAAATATTGTGGACTCAGAGTGTGGAGCAGTTCAGGGAGACACAAAGCAAATCAATGAATGCCTGTTACATCATGACTGAGTAAGCAGGAGCACAGGCAATCCTGAGAGGCTACATTTCCATTTGAACCAGAACTTGATTCAAATGCACAAAGAAGGCAATGACATTCTAAGAAAATAAACCACCATGAAACTCTGCCATATTCTTTCTTACTCATTACTTTAAGGTATTTGCCAACCAGCTACAATAAAAATGATATAGAAGAAAATGATATAGAAGAAAAGAGAAGGAGCTACTCATAGTTACTTTTTCTTTCCTTCTGTACTCAATAGTAAGCCTGAGGTAGACAGTATTGTTAGAATGTGTGCATATCAAGAACTGAAATAAAAATAACCGAGTTAGTTTTATGCAGTGTTTTCAACTGCCTGTTAACAGCAAAATATACATGCATGTACAAAGTATAAAATACAAATTGTATAATTCCAGTGATTCTACTTAAATGGTTAACAGTTTTACATTTGCATTTAAAACTGGCATTACACAATATAAATGTGGGTGGCAAAGTTCATGCTAATGAATAAAATTTTTATTTTTTTTTACGTAAAGCAACTTCAAAGAGCAAATTTAAACATACACACACACCTCATAACAAGTCATGGAAGAGGCCACAGAAGAAAGGAAAAACATTTTTAGATTTTTAGTATCCCTTATGTAAATATTTTTCTGCATTTTGAACAAATGGTGTCACATTTTCATTTGGCACTGAGTCCCACAAATTATGCAGTCAACCCTGAATGTCATCAGCTTTTTTCATACTTCGTCACTCATTTGGCTAATACAGACCTTATAGGCAATTTCTTTTTGGTTTTCATAAGAATTGCCTTCCTATTGGTCTCAGCTTGATCTCCCATTCTGATCCCACATGTTCAAATTTTGTGGGTTGCTTTGTTTTATTTTTCTTTCCATCTGAGTATAAGATGTCACATTCAAATCTTTTAATCTTGTTATAATTCCCATTGGCAAAATTGATTTTGTATTAATTAACTCTACTATAGTAACAATTGGAACAATGGAAGCAGACATTTATCAAAATAAGAGTAAACTCAGAGCTAGCCCTCCTCATTTTGGCAAAATATCTTTATTTCCAAAAGATCTTTTACTCCAATTCAGTGTTCTATGCTGCCAAAGATAGTTCTTTCTTTGTCTTGCATTTATATTTCTTTCCCTAAAATTCACAAGAATTTTATTCATAATATTTTGGATTGCTCCAATGACACAAATGGTGTCTATTACTTGTCTCACATTTAATCACTAATTATATGCATAAAGTATAATACAGCAGTTTTCCAGCTGTGTACAACAACCCATGATGCCAATCTTTAAGAACTAATATAGTTTTTCCTACTTTAATCCATTTAATTAAAAAACTCCAAAATTATTTCCAAATAATGTTAATAAGTATGTATGTGCTTTACATTGTAATTGGATATTGTTTATTGGTTGTATATTTACATTCTTTACATCTCTTTTCCTGATACATACATTTATTTTTACTGACGCAAAGAGTAAAACATGTACCCACTTAAATAAATGTTACTTAACAGTTTATTACCAGCTAAATAACAATTGAAGAATTTATTTATGATGAAGTGCCAAAGACAGTACTTTATAAAATAACCTTTGCTCAACAGACATTCGAAGAATTTCGAACTGACCAATTGTATAATCTTGGACAAGTTACTTAACTACTAAGGTTTCTACCTTCCTTCTTTGTTAAATAAAGTTAATAGCAGTGCCTAACTTGAACTTTTGTTAGAAGCATGGTTGTTACATCATAAGCATTTAATAAATATTTGATAATATCTGCTCATTATTATTATTGGTGGTGGTGATGTAGTTATTAGTCTTATCATGTGTAGCTAATTGCTACAAATGTCATTTTTTCTTTCTTCCTGGATAATGTAAGTTGAATTTGGAAATAAAGCAGTGATGTGTTCACTTCAGGTAATGGACCATTATTAGTCTTAGGCAGGAATAATAATCTTGTTTCTCACTCTTGCTTAATTTCCCAATATCCCTTGCAGCAAGGGCAGCCAAAGGATCTAAGTTAGGCAAATAAGATTTACACAGAAATTTTCTGATGGTGTTTCTGAGAAGGTACTTAATTACCTTGTAAAAGAAGACAGATGTGCCTGGCATAGTCCCTTACCTCTTCTATTTGCCTTCCTTGAATGTGAATCAGATGCAGCAGCCATCTTTTGACAAGTCATGAGGATAAAAGCCAACACACTCACCATGGCAAGCAAAGAAACCGAAAAAGCCTGCGTGTCCGATGACATAACTGAGCAGTGAGGCAGAGTTCAGGTACATCCTATGTCTGCTAAGGGATACATAATGGCATCATTTAAAATACTTTGGATGCTTCTAATAACTTATTCTTCATGATTTTTCAGATAAATAATTTTGTTTTCAGTGTATAATTATAATAGCATGTAGTAAATGGGAAATAGTCATAGAAATGATTTTAAAGGGAAAAGTGAGTTACATCTAGTATGTCTTCCAGATGAATTTAGATGATTGTCTTGTAAAACTGGCTGAATACAAACTCTTAGAAATTTTAAGATGGGCTGGATATTGTCTACTTACTATAGGACATACAAGAGTCATTTAATTTAAACAATTACACATTATTATAAAGAATTATTTTTAAACTTATAGGGCAATGGTTCTCAACTGATTGCACCTTTGCATTTGACAATGCATAAATAAATTTTTGGTTGTTACACTGGAGGGAATTCTACTTGCATCTAGTATGTCTAGCCAGATATTTCCTCCCAACAAAGAATTATCCTGTCCAAATGCCAAAAGTGCCAAAATACTTGCAAATAATTTGGAATGCATCTATTGGGAATGTTAAGGGTTGTCCTTATAAAGATTAAATTAATTAAACTATTTCTTATAGTCATAGTTAATGGCCAGATTATACCTGTGACAAAGTTAGTGCCAAATTTGAGGACTCTTAATATTTTTTTAGTTGAAATGATATCATTTAAAAATAGTTTTAATTAGTTGGCTACAGATGAGAGCAAAATATGAAACAATCACTACACACAGTAGAAATCTGAGATAAAACAAATAGACCATCTGATGTTCAAAGGGCTTCTACCCTGCTGACTGTTGAAGAACTTTTGTTATTATTTCTGCAACCTTATCTCCTGAAAATTTTATACCTTTATGACACAATAATACAAGTTTAGAAGTTAAAAATATTTTCTTACCTTGGGCAGTATGGCCATTTTCATGATATTGATTCTTCCTACCCATGAGCATGGAATGTTCTTCCATTTGTTTGTATCCTCTTTTATTTCATTGAGCTGTGGTTTGTAGTTCTCCTTGAAGAGGTCCTTCACATCCCTTGTAAGTTGGATTCCTAGGTATTTTATTCTCTTTGAAGCAATTGTGAATGGGAGTTCACTCATGATTTGGCTCTCTGTCTGTTGTTGGTGTATAAGAATGCTTGTGATTTTTGTACATTGATTTTGTATCCTGAGACTTTGCTGAAGTTGCTTATCAGCTTAAAGAGATTTTGGGCTGAGACAATGGGGTTTTCTAGATATACAATCATGTCGTCTGCAAACAGGGACAATTTGACTTCCTCTTTTCCTAATTGAATACCCTTTATTTCCTTCTCCTGCCTAATTGCCCTGGCCAGAACTTCCAAGACTATGTTGAATAGGAGTGGTGAGAGAGGGCATCTCTGTCTTGTGCCAGTTTTCAAAGGGAACTCTTCTAGTTTTTGCCCATTCAGTATGATATTGGCTGTGGGTTTGTCATAGATAGCTGTTATTATTTTGAGATATGTCCCATCAATACCTAATTTATTGAGAGTTTTTAGCATGAAGTGTTGTTGAATTTTGTCAAAGGCCTTTTCTGCATCTATTGAGATAATCATGTGGTTTTTGTCTTTGGTTCTGTTTATGCTGGACTACATTTATTGATTTGGGTATACTGAACCAGCCTTGCATCCCAGGGATGAAGCCCACTTGATCATGGTGGACAAGCTTTTTGATGTGCTGCTGGATTTGGTTTGCCAGTATTTTATTGAGGATTTTTGCATCAATGTTCATCAAGGATATTGGTCTAAAATTCTCTTTTTTGGTTGTGTCTCTGCCCGGCTTTGGTATCAGGATGATGCTGGCCTCATAAAATGAGTTAGGGAGGATTCCCTCTTTTTCTATTGATTGGAATAGTTACAGAAGGCATGGTACCAGTTCCTCCTTGTACCTCTGGTAGAATTCGGCTGTCAGTCCATCTGGTCCTGGACTCTTTTTGGTTGGTAAGCCATTGATTATTTCCACAATTTGAGATCCTGTTATTCGTCTATTCAGAGATTCAACATCTTCCTGGTTTAGTCTTGGGAGAGTGTATGTGTCGAGGAATTTATCCATTTCTTCTAGATTTTCTAGTTTATTTGCGTAGAGGTGTTTGTAGTATTCTCTGATGGTAGTTTGTATTTCTCTGGGATCGGTGGTGATATCCCCTTTATCATTTTTTATTGTGTCTATCTGATTCTTCTCTCTTTTTTTATTTATTAGTCTTGCTAGCAGTCTATCAATTTTGTTGATCCTTTCAAAAAACCAGCTCCTGGATTCATTAATTTTTTGAAGGGTTTTTTTGTGTCTCTATCTCCTTCAGTTCTGCCTGATTTTAGTTATTTCTTGCCTTCTGCTAGCTTTTGAATGTGTTTGCTCTTGCTTTTCTAGTTCTTTTAATTATGATGTTAGGGTGTCAATTTTGGATCTTTCCTGCTTTCTCTTGTGGGCATTTAGTGCTACAAATTTCCCTCTACACACTGCTTTGAATGCATCCCAGAGATTCTGGTATGTTGTGTCTTTGTTCTCGTTGGTTTCAAAGAATATCTTTATTTCTGCCTTCATTTCGTTATGTACCCAGTAATCATTCAGGAGCAGGTTGTTCAGTTTCCATGTAGTTGAGCAGTTTTGAGTGAGATTCTTAATCCTGAGTTCTAGTTTGATTGCACTGTGGTCTGAGAGATAGTTTGTTATAATTTCTGTTCTTTTACATTTGCTGAGGAGAGCTTTACTTCCAAGTATGTGGTCAATTTTGGAATAGGTGTGGTGTGGTGCTGAGAAGAATGTATATTCTGTTGATTTGGGGTGGAGAGTTCTGTAGATGTCTATTTACAGATTCAATACCATCCCCATCAAGCTACCAATGACTTTCTTCACAGAATTGGAAAAAACTACTTCAAAGTTCATAAGGAACCAAAAAAGAGCCCGCATCACCAAGTCAATCCTAAGCCAAAAGAACAAAGCAGGAGGCATCATGCTACCTGACTTCAAACTATAATACAAGGCTACAGCAAACAAAACAGCATGGTACTGTTACCAAAACAGAGATATAGATCAATGGAACAGAACAGAGCCCTCAGAAATAATGTCACATATCTACAACTATCTGATCTTTGACAAACCGGAGAAAAACAAGCAATGGGGAAAGGATTCCCTATTTAATAAATGGTGCTGGGAAAACTGGCTAGCCATATGTAGAAAGCTGAAACTGGATCCCTTCCTTACACCTTTTACAAAAATTAATTCAAGATGGATTAAAGACTTACATGTTAGACCTAAAACCATAAAAACCCTAGAAGAAAACCTAGGCATTACCATGCAGGACATAAGCATGAGCAAGGACTTCATGTCTAAAACACCAAAAGCAATGGCAACAAAAGCCAAAATTGACAAATGGGATCTAATTAAACTAAAGAGCTTCTGCACAGCAAAAGAAACTACCATCAGAGTGAACAGGCAACCTACAAAATGGGAGAAAATTTTCGCAACCTACTCATCTGACAAAGGGCTAATATCCAGAATCTACAATGAACCCAAACAAATTTACAAGAAAAAAACAAACAACCCCATCAAAAAGTGGGCAAAGGACATGAACAGACACTTCCCAAAAGAAGACATTTATGCAGCCAAAAAACACATGAAAAAGTGCTCACCATCACTGGCCATCAGAGAAATGCAAATCAAAACCACAATGAGATACCATCTCCCACCAGTTAGATGGTGATCATTAAAAAGTCAGGAAACAACAGGTGCTGGAGAGGATGTGGAGAAATAGGAACAGTTTTACACAGTTGGTGGGACTGTAAACTAGTTCAACCATTGTGGCAGTCAGTGTGGAGATTCCTCAGGGATCTAGAACTAGAAATACCATTTGACCCAACCATCCCATTACTGGGTATATACCCAAAGGACTATAAATCATGCTGCTATAAAGACACATGCACACGTACGTTTTTTGTGGCATTATTCACAATAGCAAAGACTTGGAACCAACCCAAATGTCCAACAATGACAGACTGGATTAAGAAAATGTGGCACATATACACCATGGAATACTATGCAGCCATCAAAAATGATGAGTTCATGTCCTTTGTAGGGACATGGATGAAATTGGAAATCATCTCTCAGTAAACTAGCACAAGAACAAAAAACCAAACAACTCATATGCTCACTCATAGGTGGGAATTGAACAGTGAGAACACATGGACACAGGAAGGGGAACATCACACTCTGGGGACTGTTGTGGGGTGGGGGGAGGGGGGAGGGATAGCATTGGGAGATATACCTAATGCTAGATGACTAGTTAGTGGGTGCAGCGCACCAGCATGGCACATGTATACATATGTAACTAACCAGCACATTGTGCACATGTACCCTAAAACTTAAAGTATAATAATAATAAATAGACAAATAAATAAATAAATAAATAAATAAATAGAAAGAAAATGTGGCACATATACACCATGGGATACTATGCAGCCATAAAAAAGGCTGAGTTCTTGTCCTTTGCAGGGACATGGATGAAGCTGGAAACCATCATTCTGCACAAACTATCACAAGGACAGAAAACCAAAGACTGCATATTCTCACTCATAGCTGGGAATTGAACAATGAGAACACTTGGATGCAGGGTGGCGAACATCACATGGGGGCCTGTTATGGGGTTGGGGGGCTGGGGGAGGGATAGCATTAGGAGATATACCTAATGTAAATGATGATTTAATGGGTGCAGCACACCAACATGGCACATGTATACATATGTAAGAAACCTGCACATTGTGCACATGTATCCTAGAACTTAAAGTATAATAATAATAAAAAAAGAGAATGGTAAAAAAAAAATTCTTATACTTTGATTGTATCTATTGTCATACATATATTGTATTAATTAGATGACTAGTAATAGTTTACATTGCAGCCAAAAACTTAGAGGTGCTACCATAATCTAATGCAGGAACAGAATTGGAACCTCAGGCATGGAGGAGATCAAGTTTGCTAGGTAAATTTTAGTGCTAAGAAATATAAAAATATATGGACACATATTTTTTATTTCATTTTTCAGTATCTTCTTTCCATTTCTGTACTTTTGGCTCTTCTGGAATAGCAAAATATTCTATTTTTGTCTTCCTAAAAAATGTATGATACCATACACAGAATAACTGCTTTTTATTAAGGAGTTGAGCTACATTCATCACTCATTATTTTGTGACACTGGAGTCACTCTCTCAGAATTTTGTATAATAAAGATTGCAATAATTATTAAATGAGATTATGCAAGCAAAAAAGTGCTTCATTTTCTACCTGGCACAGAATGAGGTTCTCAATAATGCTAAGTTACTTTTCTCTCTGCTGTGGCATTCTTGCTCCTGTAGAAGTGCTTACAATAATTCATGGTTCAGTTGGGCACGGTGGCTCACGCCTGTAATCCCAACAATTTTAGAGGCCAAGGTGGGCGGATCACCTGAGATCAGGAGTTTGAGACCAGCCTGTAGTAGAAACTTCGTCTCTACTAAAAATACTAAAAATAGCCAGGTGTGGTGCTGTGTGCCTGTAATTCCAGCTACTCTGGAGGCTGAGGCAGGAGAATCTCTTGAACCTGGGAGGTGGAGGTTGCAGTGAGCCAAGATCTTGCCACTGCACTCCAGCCTGGGTGACAGAGCAAGACTCCATCCACCGCCTCCCCCAAAAAAAGAAAAAAAAAATACAGGTGACAGAAGGGTGGGTGGCAAGATGGCTGAATAGGAACAGCTCCGGTCTGCAGCTCCCCACGAGATCAATGAAGAAGGGGGTGATTTCTGCAATTCCAACTGAGGTATCCAGCTCATCTCATTAGGACTGGTTAGACAGTAGGTGCAGCCCACGGAGGGCAAGACAAAGCTTAATGGGGCATGGCCTCACCCAGGAAGTGCAAGGGGTGGGGGAACTCCCTCGCCTGGCCAAGGGAAGCCGTGAGGGACTGTGCCATGAGAAATGGTGCATGCTAGCCCAGATAGTTGGCTTCTCCCATGGTCTCCACAACCCACAGACCAGTAGATTCCCTTGGTTGCCTACAGCACCAGGGCCCTGGGTTTCAAGCATAAAACTGGGAAGCCACTTGGGAAGACACTGAGCTAGCTGCAGGTATTTTTTTTTCATACCCCTGTGGCACCTGGAACTCCAGCGAGACATAAGTGTTCACTCCCCTAAAAGGGGGGCTGAAGTCAGGGAGCCAAGTAGTCTAGCTCAGCAGATCCCACCCCCATGGAGCTCAGCAAGCTAAGATCCACTGGCTTGAAATTCTTGCTGCCAGCCCAGTAGTCTGAAGTTGGCCTGGGATGCTCAAGCTTGGGGGTGAGAGGGGCATCCACCATTACTGAGGCTTGAGTAGGCAGTTTTCCCCTCACAGTGTAAACAAAGCTACCAGGAAGTTTGAACTGGGCAAAGCCCACCGCAGCTTGGCAAAGTCACTGTAGCCAGACTGCCTCTCTAGATTTCTCCTCTCTGGGCAGAGCATCTCTAAAAGAAAGGCAACAGAACCAGTCAAAAGCTTATACATCAACCTCTCACCTCCCTGGGACAGAGCACCTGGGAGAAGGAGTGGCTGTGGGCACAGCTTTGGAAGACTTAAATGTTCCTGCCTACCAGCTCTGAAGAGTGCAGCAGATCTCCCAGCACAGTGCTCTAGCTCTGCTAAGGGACAGACTGCTTCCTCAAGTGGGTCTCTGACCCTGCATACCTCCTGATGGAGAGACACTTCCCAGCAGGGGTTTAAAAGACAAGTCATATAGGAGAGCTCCGGCAGGCATCTGGTGGGTGCCCTTCTGGGATGAAGCTTCCAGAGGAAGGAACAGGCAGTAATCTTTGATGTTCTGCAGCCTCCGCTGGTGACACTCAGGAAAACAGGGTCAGCCTGACTGTTAGAAGTAAAACTAACAAACAAAAAGGAATAGCATCAACATCAACAAAAAGGATGTCCACACAAAAACCCCATCCGAAGATCACCAACATCAAAGACCAAAGGTAGATAAATCCATGAAGATGAGGAAAAACTGGTGCAAAAAGGCTGAAAATTCCAAAATCCAGAAGCCCTCTTTTTCCCCAAAGGATCACAACTCCTCACCAGCAAGGGAACAAAACTGGTTGGAAAATGAGTTTGATGAATTGACAGAAGTAGGCTTCAGAAGGTGGATAATAACAAACTCCTCTGAGCTAAAAGAGCATGTTCTAAACAAATTCAAAGAAGCTAAGAATCTTGAAAAAATGTTCGAATAATTGTTAACTAGAATAACCAGTTTAGAGAAGAACATAAATGACCTGCTTGAGCTGAAAAAAACAGCACGAGAATTTTGCGAAGCATACACAGGTATCAATAACCGAATCGATCAAGCAGAAGAAAGGATATCAGAGATTGAAGATCAACTTAATAAAATAAAGCATGAAGACAAGATTAGAGAAAAAAGAATAAAACGGAATGAATGAAGCCTCCAAGAAATATGGGACTATGTGAAAGACCAAACCTATGTTTGATTGGTGTACTTGAAGGTGATGGGGAAAATAGAACCAAGTTGGAAAACACTTCAGGATATTATCCAGGAGAAGTTCCCCAACCTAGAAGACAGGCCAACATACAAATTCAGGAAATACAGAGAACACCACAAAGATGCTCCTCGATAAAAGCAACCCCAAGACACACAATTGTCAGATTCACCAAGGTTGAAATGAAGGAAACAATGTTAAGGGCAGCCAGAGAGAAAGATCAGGTAACCCACAAAGGGAAGCGCATCAGACTAACAGCGGATCTCTCTGCAGAAACCTGACAGGACAGAAGAGACTGGGGGCCAATATTCAACATTCTTAAAGAAAAGGATTTTCAACCCAGAATTTCATATCCAGCCAAATTGAGCTTCATAAGCAAAGGAGAAATAAAATCCTTTACAGACAAGCAAATGCTGAGAGATTTTATTACCACCGGTCCTTCCTGAAGAAAGGAAATATGGAAAGGAAAAACTGGTACCAGCCACTGCAAAAACATACCAAATTGTAAAGACCATCGACACTATGAAGAAACTGCATCAACTAATGGGCAAAGGAACCAGCTAGCATCATAATCACAGGATCAAATTAACATATAACAATATTAAACTTAAGTGTAAATGGACTAAATGTCCCAATTAAAAAACATAAAGTAGAAAATTGTATAAAGAGTCATGACCCATCAGTGTGCTGTATTCAGGACACCCATCTCACATGCAAAGACAGACATAGGCTCAAAATAAAGAGATGGAGAAATATTTACCAAGCAAATGGAAAGGAAAAAAAAAAGAAGGGGTTGCAGTCCTAGTCTCTGATAAAACACACTTAAACCAACAAGTTCAAAAGAGACAAAGAAGGGCATTACAAAATGGTAAAGGGATCAATGCAACAAGAAGAGCTAACTATCCTAAATATATATGCAACCAATAAGGAACACCCAGATTCATAAAGCAAGTTCTTGGAGACCTACACAGAGACTTAGACTCCCACACAATAATAGTGGGAGACTTTAATAGCCTGCTGTCAATATTAGACAGATCAATGAGACAGAAAATTAACAAGGATATTCAGGAGTTGAACTCAGCTCTAGACCAAGCAGACCTAATAGACATCTACAGAACTCTCCACCAAAAATCAACAGAATATACATTCTTCTCAGCACCACATCACACTTATTCTAACACTGACCACATAATTGGAAGTAAAACACTCCTCAGCAAATGCAAAAGAACGGAAATCAAAGAACAGTCTGTCAGAACACAGTGCAATCAAAGTAGAACTCAGGATAAGAAACTCACTCAAAACTGCCCAATTACATGAAAATTGAACAACCTGCTCCTGAATGACTACTGGGAAAATAATGAAATTAAGGCAGAAATAAATAAATTCTTTGAAACCAATGAGAACAAAGACACAACACAGCAGAATCTCTGGAACACAGATAAAGCAGTGTTTAGATGGAAAATTTATAGCACTAAACGCCCACAGGAGAAAGTCAGAAAGATCTAAAATCGACACCCGAACATCACAATTAAAAGAACTAGAGAAACAACAGCAAACAAATTCAAAATCTAGCAGGAGACAAGAAATAACTAAGATCAGAGCAGAACTCAAGGACATGGAGACATGAAAAACCCTTCAAAAATCAATAAATCCAGGGGCTGGTTTTTTGAAAAGATTAACAAAATTGATAGACTGCTAGCCAGACTAATAAAGGAGAAAAGAGTGAAGAATCAAATAGAAACAATAAAAAATGATAAAGGGGATATCACCACTGATCCCACAGAAATACAAACTACCATGAGAGAATACTATAAACACCTTTGTGCAAATAAACTAGAAAATCTAGAAGAAATGGATAAATTCCTGGACACATACACACTCCCAATACTAAACCTGGAAGAAGTCAAATCCCTGAATAGACCAATAACAAGTTCTGAAATTGAGGCAGTAATTAATAGCCCACCAACCAAAAAAAGCCCAGGACCAGATGGATTCACAGCCAAATTCTTCCAGAGGTACAAAGAGGAACTGGTACCGCTCTTTCTGAAACTATTCCAAACAATAGAAAAAGAGGGAATCCTCCCTAACTCATTTTATGAGGCCAGCATCATCCTGACACCAAAACCTGGCAGAGACACAACAAAAAAAGAAAATTTCAGGCCATTACCCTGATGAACATTGATGCAAAAATCCTCAATAAAATACTGGCAAACCGAATCCAGCAGCACATCAAAAAGCTTATCCACAATGATCAAGTCGGCTTTATCCCTGGGATGCAAGGCTGGTTCAACATACACCAATTGATAAACATAATCCACCACAGAAACAGAACCAAGGACAAAAAACACATGATTATCTCAATAGATGTAGAAAAGACCTTTGACAAAATTCAACACCCCTTCATGCCAAAAACTCTCAATAAACTAGGTATCAATGGAAAGTATCTCAAAATAATAAGAGCTACTTATGACAAACCCTCAGCCAATATCATATTGAATGGGCAAAAGCTGGAAGTATTACCTTTGAAAACCAGCAAAAGACAAGGATGCCCTCTCTCACCACTCCTATTCAACACAGTATTGGAAGTTCTGGCCAGGGCAATCTGGCAAGCGAAAGAAATAAAAGGTATTTAAACAGGAAGAGAAGAAGCCAAATTGTCTCTGTTTTCAGATAACATGACTGTATATTTAGAAAAC